>NC_000002.12:31645128-31797878 GCF_000001405.40 Homo sapiens
ATTTTGAGCCACGTGTTTCAAGCTTTGAAGACAAGCCTCTACTTTAAAAGGTTATCTGGTGGGAAGGTTAATGAGTATTAAAAAAAACGTTAGAAAAAATGAATAAGACCTACTGTTTGATAGCACAACAGGGTGACTATACTCAATAGTAAGTTAACTCTAAAATAACTTAAAGAGTGTTTGCAACTCAACGGATAAATGCTTGAGGGGATGGATAACCCATTCTCCATGATGTGCTTATTTCACATTGCATGCCTGTATCAAAACATCTTCTGTATCCCATAAATACATACACCTACTATGTACCCACAAAAACTAAAAATTCAAAAAATTTTAAAAACGAAATGGTCATCTATTTGTTATTTTTCTGACAGATGTAAATTTGATTCTCGTTAGTTCAATTTGTGTTGAGCTAAAACTAGAAACTATCTTTTATTTGTAGAAATGAAAGAAAAATAAAAGTTTATATTCACTCTGGTTTTTAAAAAGTTAGAAATGTTCATTACAAATACCTCCCCAAAGTGTTCTAGGGAGGATTTAATGGGATACTCTAAAGCTTTCAACATAATTCTTGGATAATATGAGTTTCTCAATAAACATTAGTTTTTATTATCTTTATATCAGCAGCACCTACCTAGCACCTGAAATAAAATAGATATTGAATGAAAGAGTAAATGTGCAATTGATTGATGTGTTTAGGTGTGTGTGTACGTGTGTGTGGCTCACGTATATAATTCATGCACATATAAAGTATATTCACCTGACTACACACACACAGGTGCCCTTCTTTACCATGGGGTACCTTCCTGCATAATGGGACTCCATCTTGAGGCCGTGTCTATCCCGCCTACCTCACTAGTTTCCTTCCACTACACTGAAATCACTTGCAACTTTACCTCCTTCATCTTTCTTTTCTAGGAAAATTGTATTAATGATAATTAGAATGTATTTTAATACCATAAACATGACTTTTCAGTTGATCATAGTTCATCAATTAGCTATGATGCTCCAAACACAAACAAACAGGTGTGTGCGTGCACACACACACACACGCACACACACACAGTTAGAAGTCAGGTGCCTTCTTGCATCTACATTCAAAAGCCTCAGAATTTTATTTACATTAAAAAATCGCCTTCAAGATGTGAAACTCATCATTAATTATTAATAGGTAAATGTTGAGCTTTACCTGTATGTCAGGCTCCAGGATCTCATGGTTGCATTAGGCTTCTTTTCTCCAGTTGCTTCCTAAGCATGGTTCCCACTCCCAACTCCCAAGGCTACCCAAGGCTGCTAGAGCTTTAGACACTGCATTCCTATTTCAGGAAAAATGAAGGAGGAACATTCAAAAAGAGCACAGCCCCTCTCTTTAACGACATGTCCCATGAGAGGCAAACACCCCTTTGGCCAGAACCTAGTCACTTGGCTGCATCTAGGTATGAGAATGGTTGAGGAATATAACCATTACATGGGCTTCCATGTGCCTAACAAGAAGTTAAGAGTTTTATTACTGAGGAAGAAGAAGAGAACAAATATGAGAGAAAACCAGCAGTCATAGCCAGCATACTGTAGAGGAAAAAGTACACAGTCTGAAAAAGAATATTAAAAAAAAATGAGGTTAGACTTCTGGCTTCTGTTAATACTTGTGCCAGGTCAAGCAAAGCTTAGCTTGTCCCCAAACATCTAACACTGGTTAAAACAAAACAAAACAAAGCAAAACAAAAAAACCAGCAATAGGCCAGGTGCAGTGGCTCAGGCCTATAATCCCAACACTTTGGGAGGTCAAGGCGGGCAGATCACTCAAGGTCAGGAGTTCGAGACTAGCCTGGCCAATGTGACAAAACCTTGTCTCTACTGAATACAAAAATTAGTGAGACGTCATGGTGGGCGCCTGTAATTCCAGCTACTTGGCAGGCTGAGGCAGGAGAATCTCTTGAATCTGAGAGGTGGAGGTTGCAGTGAGCCGAGATCACACCACTGCACTCCAGCCTGGGCGACAGAGTAACACCCTGTCTCAGAAAACAAAACAAAACAAAACAAAAACAGCTGTACCATAGACACAGAGGAATAGTGGAAGAGGAATATAGAACAGTGCTTTTCACACCTTAGCGTGTATTCAATCCAGGAATCTTCTTAAACTGTGTAATCTGATTCAGTGAGTCTGGGATGGGGGCTGAAATTCTGCATTTCTAACAAGCTCTCAGGTGATGCCCACACTGATAGCCCATGGAACACATGTGCAGTAATATTAATCAAATCTGAGAATCCATCTTTCCCTTTCTTAATAAAACATATCGTTGGCATTCCCCCGTTTTACCTTCCATGGTTTTAACTATTAAGTTGCCTCAAGGGTTTAAGACATATGGTGGTTTGTCATTTGCTAACACAAAAATTAATTAGTTTTCCTAGATTATTTGATTTTATTCCTTTTTGGAAAGCTAGTTATAAATGCTATAATATTCAAAAGATTAAAAATGCAGTGAAAAATAACCCCCTCTCTCATCTCTGCTGGCCAACTAACTCCTCAGTTCTACTCCTAAGAGACAAACGCTGCTGCCAGTTTTGATGTGTCCTTCCAGAAGTGCTCTGTACATACAGAAGTAAATGTGTATGTTACACAAATGGCACTAAATTATATAAATTATCTTGAACATTTGCTTTTTATTTAACATTATATCTTGAAGATAATGCCTCTAAAATACATAAAGAATTCTCTCATTTTTTAAAGAAACAAATGTATAACAGTTCACTCTCTGGATGTGTCTAATTTTTTTATGAGTATGAAAACTGTTTCTATCATTTTGCTAAATAACCTTGCATGTGTATTACTTTGCACAAGTGTGAGTGCTTTTGTAGACGAGTTCCTAGAAGGAGAATTGTTGAGCCAAAGACTGTGTGCATGTTTTATTTTGCTAATACTACCAAGTTGCCCTCCTTTGAGGTTTTAATAAGTTACATCCCCCTCAGCACAATATAAGGGTGATTCACTGTGAGGCTAGTGTTTGTGAAGTGTTGACTTGTCCATTAAATAAATTCAGCATGTACTGAAGACAACAGCATGGCAAAGGCATCAAAAAATGGAGGAAAAAAGGTTTTTAAAATGCCAAAATTTCAAAAGAATTAAAATACTCATTTTGGGAACAGCAGAAACTTTACTTTGTGGTTTAGTGCTGTTTTCCATTTGGATTACATATATGAAGAGACACAATTTTTTCAGTGCTTAAACCACTTAAGGTCTAGTCCAGCCATGTGTGTGGGAGTGATTCCCTTAGTAATTGGGTGACCCTAGTCAGCCACCTAGCAACTGCATTTCAACCTGCCAATAACATGCAGTGTTGAAGCTTGAGCTAGACAGAGTTGGTGTCTGTTGCTCATTATGGACCAAATTTTATGCCAGGCCACATCAAAGGCAATGTGAGTCCCTTAGTTTCAGCCAATATGTGATTTCTTCTTAACACATGTGTTAGTCCGTGGACCAACAGTTAGAGCAAAAGCTGCTTCCTCTTAAAAGAAAAAGAATCTATTCAGTTCACATTCCTCAGAAGAAAGCAACCAAACTGCTGGATGCTTTATGGGCTCTCCAGTTTGAGCATCTATGAACTTGAACCTAAACATCATTACGAACACGGCTGTTCTTTCCTCGAGGCATATAATCTTTTCTGAGCTTCAATTCTATTTGAAGCTTCTAATTCACAGTTTGAAAATATGCTTTGTCCTCTGAGTAGCCTTTCTAAACAAGTATTGGCAGATTTGAATAGACGGTTCTACGTGCTTCAGTTGCCAGGCACCTGCATTCCTAGAAAGACTAGCAGAAAACTAAGTGCCCTTGGAAGCCTTATAAGATGTGCTTCTCTTTCCTGGGTTTCCCACTTCAGTCAGCTCCTGAAATTCATGCCCTCTAAATTATCAGATGCCTCAATTCCACAGAGGGACTATGTACTTACCTCTAGAACCCAACCATGTTTCTCCAATATGTTTTCTAGCACATCACATTTCTCATTTGGAGTGGATAACTGGTTAGCAGTGCTATGTTTCCCACATTTTAAACAGCCGCTAGCTATTCCATTTCCTTTGGCCTGGATCTTAATACTTTAAGAAGAGAATGACTATTTTCTTTAGCTGCACTTCATGAGAGAGAAAAAGTGACAAGCAGTTAGCTCGACCTGAATACACACCTTATTGATTATATTCCTGTAGAGATAACCCATCCACTGGCTCCTGACACATTAGACAGGACTTGCAAGCAATTGACACCCAACACCCACTGCCTTGTATATTCAAATACAGCCTTCCATTTTCCCAAGGAGGAAACTTGAAAATTAAAAAATAAATTATTAGCCCAAATCAATGCTTTTAGAAATTTATGTCAAATAGTCAAATACCTATGTATCAATACTTCATATTATTTTTACTCCATATTCAAAATTATATATAAAATAATATAATAGGAAACTACTGGGATAACTTTTTTATAATGAATACTATGCATTTCTTTAAATCAGTTTATCACACTCTTCTGATGCATTCTCACTTTCAATAAATCATTCAACACAATTTTCCCAGAGTGTATCATTGTAATTTCTAGATTTTTCAGTATAGCATTTTTTGAATCTGTATATGATACTGTCCCTGGAAGTTTTGTCCCAAGCCATAGGATATTCACATAATATATAACGGGTATTTTTCCCCATTCACCCTAGAGTTGCATATTTCTGATGTCCATAAGTAAACCTTTTACTGTATTATTATAACATCCAAAGTTACATTAATTTGTCTTTTGAAACAATGACAAAATGTATTTTGTCATTATTAATGATCAACATTTCTAATCAATTTTAGATTGATTAGATTGATTGATTAGATTAATTACAGGTAAAGCTCAACATTATCAGTACCCAAAACTAGCACTGGATGAAGGTTATTTCAGGCTCATGTGCTCCCCAGACATCATTGAACATTGTTATTCAGAATGAAACCATTGAGAGGGTCCCCTAAATAGGATAAACTATTTTCTGAGGTACAGCTATAAAGAGGGAAAACAAACCTGCAGACATAGACCTCCCACAACATTGCTAGCACCTTTTGTATTTGTGCCCTCCTCTGCATTCTCACGCGTGAGATGGTGAGATAGGTTTATTTTTTGTATTTATAGATGGACACATATGGCACCTCAAGCAAAAGAAAAAGTGAGGGATGGGCAAAATCCAGGATGGGGGAAGTAAACTGCAGGGATCCTGGGATGGGTCACTAAAGTGAAGAAAGAATAGTAAGGACCAAGAAAGAATAGCTCCAGGAACCTCGAGAACTGCACTGTGTCTGTGCTCTCAGAGCCTTCCCTCTTTCCTCTATTTAGCTTCATCCTTTCCTCCTCTAGATAGTTTCTCTATGGAACACATAGTCATGGTACAAATCCTCATTATTTTAGTTCCATAAGCTGACAAGTAGTAAACCATCACCCTCTCACTTCCACCATATAAAATTCCAGGAACTATTTCTAGTTTTTATATTCTAAGCCAAACACATGTTACATGCTCTAGTTTTGCCAGCACTAAAAATAATTTAAAAGATAATTATTAAAATTTAGTAAGTATGCAGCTCCACTCCAAAACAAGATGGAAGCCTCAAAGAATCAGACATTGTGAGGAATCTTCAAGACACTGAGAAGAGACAGGATTGGAGAGAAGAGGGAAAACCACACACCATCTCACAGGTGAGAATCCAGAAGAGGGCACAACTACAAAAGGTGCTAGCAATGTCATGGGAGCTCTGTATCTGGAGGTGGCAGAAGCTGGGATCATGAGGGGCGACCAACATAATAATGAGATTTGTGGGCATACTTCAAGGGAAGCAAACAGACTGGTTGACTAACTATAGATCTCCACCTGCCTTCTGCAGGCCAATCACCTGCAACAGAAAATGTCTTCAGGTGGGATAAGTGTCTGCGTATCTGATCATTTCAGGGGAAAATTAACAGTTTAGCTCAGAAGACCAATAGATGGTGCCTCATGCCTAAGGGTATATCCCACCCATCCCTGGCTCTCAGAGAAAACAGTTCAAAGCATAAAACTTAATAGTAGCTTCACCCAATTTTCTTTAGTGAGATGCACAAAGACCATTATGGAACAGGAAATCTAATCTAAAAAAATTATCCCATAGATAAGAATTTTCAGATTTCTGAAGAGTGAGACATGAAAGACAGACAATAAATACAATTTATTGTTGAGTAAAATGACTTAGTCAGACAACTAGAAGAAGAACAAAAGAGCAATCTGGATGCTGACATGTCCAAATGGGGTAACAGTGGCAATGACATCATCATGCTGGCCAAGCAGACTTATGGTAATGTACATGCTAATGATAGAGATGACTGACTTTACCCAATGTGAAGGACTGCTCAAAAATTCATCAGACAAGATCAGTGCAGCCAAGAAAATTGCTAAGACAAGATCTAGGATGGATCAGCTTAACTTTATCGTTACAAACTACTGCTCAGACTCAGCCTGGAAGCCGCACTTGCTAGCCCACCTGCAGCACATCACCCTCTACTGCCACCACCTCAACATCTGCAGCAAAATCATGGCCATGGTTCATAACCTCAGTGAGGAGCTTGTCATCTCCAGGATGGACAGCACAGTAACCCCAATCCAGCAGCCAAGGAATTGCTGAACATTGTGTTTGTACGATGAACATCGTGGTACAAACAGTGAAGGCATCCCACGTGATCTCCATCAAATGCCAGTAAGAGAAGTATATGAGTCCCATGCAGGCCTTCGGCAAGTTCAAAGCTATGGACAGCATCTAAAGTCTGCCCTAGCCAGCAGCCCCCACCCTTCTGAGTCACAGTTTTTCTTTTCTTTTCTGAGATAGCATCTTGCTCTGTTGCCCAGGCTGGAGTGCAGTGAGGACTGCAGCCTCCGCCTCCAGGACGGAGGCAATCCTCCCACCTTAGCCCCCCAGTAGCTGGGACTATAGGCCCATGCCACCACACCCAACTAATTTTTATTTTTTGTAGAGACGGGGTTTTGCCATGTTGTTCAGGCTGGTCTTAAACTTGTGGGCTCAAGCAATCCACCCGCCTTGGCCTCCCAAAGTGCTGTGATCACAGGCATGAGCCACCACACCCAGCCCTAGTCACTGTTTTTCATTCATCAAATACATTTGCTAAGGAGAATACTGATGTGAAATTCTATTGGGAAATAGGCAGATTTTTAACTTGGCCAACTGGTGAATTTTGCAAGGACATGTTTGCATTTGAGTTGGTCAAAATATGCACTCAGTATCTAGCAGCATATTTCCAGCTATATTTTTTCTAATCTAAAAAAAAAAGAAACTTCTAAGGCAAAAAAAATTAAGGCCCAGCACTCCAAAATAAAGATATTATATCAGAAAGATGAGGAGGGATATTGTACCCATAAAACAAGAACAGTTATGAAAAAGAATACATCCGAGGCCTTAGAAATGAAAACAAATTATTGAAATCAAAAAATTTAGTTATTAACTACCTAATTGGATACGGTTGAAATGCAAATTAGTGAGTTAGAAGATGAAGCTAAAAAAGCACACAGTGTAAAAGGATAAAGACCATGGAGAATACATCCAGAAGTGCCAAACTTAATCTACAGAAGAAAGTGAGAATAAAGTAGCTAAAGAACAAAAATGCAGATTTTGTCAGAATTAAAGAAAGCTATGTGTTTTTACCTGAAAAGGACACTGAACTGCTGTCCCATAATTTCAAACCCAGACTCTGTCCTTTGCTTGATGGCGCTGGTTCCCTGTTCCTCTCTGCCAATGTGTGAGACTCTGCACTATTGTGAGACTGGGAGCCTGAAGGAGGAACAAAGGATTTGCTCCTTCCTGTTTATTCCCTGATTCTATCAGTGTCACTACAGCAATGGTTCATCAACTAAGAGCACCAGTTGATTCCAGTTTACTTGTTTCTTCCAATTTGCATTTTTCCCACACTAACAAAATAGTCATTTCCTCACCCCCACCCCCAGTCCCCTAGAGCCGCCAACACCAACCAGCCAATACCTCTTCAGAAGTCCGTCCTAGTTCCAAGGGTTTCCTCTTGTAAGACCAGAGACACCAGCTCCAGTCAAGCAGCTATCAATCATTCAGAAGTCTGAGTCCCACCATCATGGAACTGTATTCCAAATTCTTGAGGTACAAGTACCAGCCAAAAAGTGTCCCTCCATCTCAGAGTTTGAGTCCCAAATGTACAAGGACTGCTCATTTACACCTTAAGGTTTTAAGAATCCCAAATCCTTCTCTTTGTACCCTCAGCAAAAGGAGTAGTAGCTTCTTTCTGTCACTGTTGGCTCTGGGATACCTCACTCTCTCTTTTGTCTTTTCTTTACATAAGATTGTTTCTTATGAAATAATTGGTATAATTCTTGTCTCTGTATGCACCCTGAATGATACAACTCCCAAAATTTCTGGTATGAACATAGCTGCATAAGTCAAGGTGTCACCCTTTGTCCTCTTGCAAGGAGACATTGAGAATGAGTAGAATAAAATATCCTGCAAACTCCAATTTTTTTTTCTTTTTGAGACGGAGTTTTGCTCTTGTTGCCCAGGGAGGAGTGCAACAGTGCGATCTCAGCTCACTGCAACCTCCGCCTCCTGGGTTCAAGCGATTCTCCTGCCTCAACCTCCAGAGTAGCTGAGATTACAGGTGCCCGCCACCATGCCCAGCTAATTTTTGTATTTTTAGTAGAAACGGGTTTCACCATGTTCTCCAGGCTAGTCTCAAACTCCTGACCTCAGGTGATCTGCCCGCCTCGGCCTCCCAGAGTGCTGGGATTACAGGCGTGACCCACTGCACCCAGCCTACATTTTTAACACAACTAGGAGACAGATAACATTTTCAATCTCCAGAATATGTATAGGGGTTGCCAAAAGTAGCTGAAATCAGGTATAAACTAGTGTGAGAAAGAAAGAGAAGTAAAGAAAGTTAAAAAAAAAAAAAGCCCAGCAACAGCATAGTTCATAATGTGCCAGCAAAAACATACAGTTCCAGAGATATGGGACTCATCAGAAATGGAAAAGTTATACCTGCTGTTTGCAAAAATGGGGTCAGAAATTAGGATGAACAGGACTGAGATTGGGCTGAAACCACATAAGCAAAGTAGCAAGAGCCCAGCAGTTGCATATCTCAAAGCACTGGCAAGGATACACTACTTGCAGGTGAGAGGTTCACCCTGCTGTGTAAAACCTGCATCCTTTATTTACAACAATGGCAGCAGGAACTGGAGCAAACATAATAGTGGAAAAAGCACCCAGGGCTGAATTTAGTTCAGAGTTGTCAGAGTAGGAAGCTATCAGCTGGTGCGTGGGTGAGTGCTGGGGGATCCAAAGCAGAACACCAAAAGCATTTGCTGCATGAATTTTACGGGCTTGAGTAACATGTAATGCAGCAGAGTTAAGTAGCATTCCTTTGTCCCCATCTTTTTACAGCAGTAACATCTGGCAATCTTGGATTCTAAAATAAATAAATAAATAATAATAAATGTTAAAAACAACTTGATAAAAACAGTGTTGCATCCACTCAAGCCTTAAAAGCCTTTATACTGAAGCACCACCTGTTCTGAAGTAAGCCTTTACTAGACAGAACTAAAACACTCTGATCTGATGCCAGTATCAGGCACACCCACCATATCTGCTCTCAACAATGTACAGCAAACCACACTGATTAGAGACATGCTAAATCCTCTTCTCTGGTCACACACGAAGGCTCTTTCTTGCTACAGGGTAACCTTGTCTCCAAATGAGAATCTACTCTGAAGTTTTCCCAGTATTATATGTTGGAAGTTCCAGGTACTAATTATACCTTTCTTCTTCTCCAAGTTCTGAACCAAATTGATAAGCAGATATGAGTCAAATAGGAGGGGAAATATCAGTTATGTTCATAATAAAGTTGAAACAGAGAACAAAGCTTGTACTAGAAATTGAAATGTGCTTTTTTTAATTTTTTTATTTTTATTTTTATCTTAGATGGAGTTTCACCCTTGTCTCCCAGGCTGGAGTACAGTGGCATGATCTCGACTCACTGCAACCTCTGCCTCCTAGATTCAAGTGATTCTCCTGCCTCAGCCTCCTGATTAGCTGAGATTACGGGTGCCCACCACCACGACTGACTAATTTTTGTATTTTTAGAGAGACGGGGTTTCACCATGTTGGCCAGGCTGATCTCGAACTCCTGACCTCGTGTGATCCACCCGCCTCGGCCTCCCAAAGTGCTGGGACTACAGGCATGAGCCACTGCACCCAGCCTGAAATGTGCTTCCTAACTTACCTCCAACAGCTAAAGTATCTCACTGACTTCCAGGCAGAGGATGGGAAGTTGTGGGGCCTGAGCAAGCACATCATGGTTTCCACCAGTATTTTGCATAGAGGAGACAGCCTAGAAAGAATGACAAATCTCACCAATCAAAACAGCTGGCTGTACAGGAGAGAAGGCAAAAAAAACAGACCACTCATGAGCACTGCCTCTTGCCCTGATCTCATCAGCAAGATAAATCGTCCCACTCGTGTTGAGGAAGTGGGAGGAAGAGGTGGGAAGAATGAGAAATATTGTTTCAATGCTGTTTTCTCCCTAAGGGTAGGCAGAACTCCCCTCCATGCTTTAGAAGAATAAATAAATAATAAGCATAAGCTCTTCTACGTTTCCTCAGTTCAGCTTCCCCCACTCCACTGGAAAGAACCTACTAGACAGAAAGAAACTAAAAATATAAAGATAAAGAAAACTAATAAGCAATTTTCAACAGGGGACTGTGGGACTTAAACAAAAATGCTGGCTGTGAGGGGACACATCTTAAACAGAAAATAGTCCACCCATCCTCTGACGCTGAGAGAGGAAGGTGAAAGTAGATGCACATATAGACAGAGGTACAAAACTGGTAAGTCGGGGAAGTTAAAGCCTGATTATATCAGTTCTCTCTGTGAAGCAGAAGACAAATCATCTTGAAGGAGAGGGAATCAAGAAGGGTGAAGGTTTAGAAGAGCCACAACAGTGAATAGTAGTGAAAGTTATTTTTGGAGATCGTGAATCTGTTGGACACAAGCAATGCCATTCCTTCTAGCATAGTTTTGCATACTGGGGATGGAGCAGAGAAGATGAATGGTTTGATTCATTAATGCTTTCCTTCTTTACTTGGCTCTCAACACATCACATTCCCATGGTTTCCTTCTACCTTATTGGCCATTCTACTCAACCTCCTTTGATCATCCCTTTTCAGTTTCTTGACCTCTAGACTTTAAAAATGCCTCAGAATCCACTTGTTGGACATGTTTTCCCTCTATTTACTTTCAATATTCATGTTGAAACTGAATCCCCTTGTGGTGAAATTAAGAAGTGGGACCTTTGAGAATTGACTAAGTAACAAGGGCTCTGCCCTCATAAATGGATTAGTGCCTAATTAAAAAAATACGTTGGGGGAAAATAGCTGATGCCCCTTTTGCCCTTCCACCATTCTGCTATATGAGAACACACCATTCATCCCTCAGGAAGACACAGTAACAAGGCAACATCTTGGAAGCAGAGAGACTAAGGCCCCACCAGACACTGAACCTACAGTCACCTTGATCTGGGACTTCTCAGCCTCGAGAACTTTGAGAAACACATTTCTGTTGCTTATAAATTACCTAGACTCAGGTATTTTGGGACAATAGCATGAACAGACTAAGGTGGTCATATTGATAGTATGTACCCCTCATACAATGTGTTGAAAATGACACTTAACCTATATTTTATTCCTTCTCTAAGAATCCATAGCCCCAGTATAATCATGGGGGAAAAACAGATCCAAATTCAAAAACATTTCACAAAATATCTGAATAATACTTCTCAAAACCTTCAATGTCGTTGAAAACAAAGTAAATCTGAGAAACTATCACAAAAAAAAGTAAATACAAACCAGGAGGATCCTGATGAGACAGGACAACTAAATATGGTATAGTATCCTAGCTAGGATCCTGAAACACAACACAGACATTCATTTGAAAATAAGGAAATCTAAATGAAATGTGTGTTTTAGTTAATAACAACCTGTCAATATTGGTTCTTTTTTTTGTGTGCACACAAATGTGCGTCCCATGATAATATTAGGTGTTAATAATAGGGAAAACTGGGTGTGGGGTATGAGAAATCCTTCTAGACTATCTTCAGAATTTTTCCATACATCTAAAATTAAAAGTTTATATTTGAAAGGATTGTAATACATTATGGTACTGATATTTGAATTTAATGATTTATAATAGGTACTCTCTTTGTTTGTTTTATTTTGTTTTTGAGACAGTCTGTTTCCCAAGTGGAGTGCAGTGGCACAATCGTAGCTCACTACATCCTCTAACTTCTGCCTTCAAGCAATTCTCCTTCCTCAGGCTCCCAAAGCATTGTGAGTACAGGTGTGAGCTACCATGTTCAGCCAATAGATTCTCTTGAACTAGACCCTAGTATTTAATAAAGCAACTACCACAACCCGAATAATAAAAAACTAATCATATTATGACATGTCATGGTTTTGAAAAATTGGCTATTTAAGGAAAAAATTAGTGATAAATTCTTACTTTACCATTACAAATTGATTGAAGAGTTAAATGTAAAAAAAACTCAAGTAGAGAAATAAACTAGGCTTTCAGGAAAAATAAAGGATCAAATTCCAACACAGTTTCTACCAACAGCCTCTGCCACAACCACAATCCTGTGGGTGTGAAGAGTGTGTGGGGGTGGGAAGGAAATAAAAAGTCATCATGAAAAAGAAGAAAAGGAAGGAGAGAACTTAGAAGAAATACAAACAAAAATCATCTCTAGAAGAAAAAAGTAGAACAGTAAATACAAAAAAATACCGAACACAGGCTGGAAACAAAACCCTGACTATGGAGAAAGTACTTGAAAGTTTGTAGGTCTAGAAGTACTAGCCTCAGAGAACCAGCTTCTGTAGAAGAATTTGGGAAGATAAAACCACACAACATAGAAATTAAACAACCTGGTACTGAATGACCTTTGGGTAAACAATTAAGGCAGAAATCAAAAAATTCTTTGAAGCAAATGAAAACAAAGAAACAACATATGAGAATTTCTGGGACACAGCTAAAGCAGTGTTAAGAGGAAAGTTTATAGCACTAAACACTCACATCAAAAACTTAGAAAGATCTCAAATTAATAACCTAACATTATACCTAGAGGAATGAGAAAAACAAGAGCAAACCAACCCCAAAGCTGGCAGAAGAAAAGAAATAACTAAAATCAGAGCTGACCTGAAGGGAATTGAGACCAAAAAACCATACAAAACCAAAAATTAATTCTTTGAAAGAATAAATAATATTGATCGACCACTAGCTAGAGTGATAAAGAAAAGGAGAAAGAAGATCCAAATAAACATAATCTTGAAATGGCAAAGGGGACATTACCACTGACCCCACAGAAATAAAAAAAAAAAATCCTCAGAGACTATTACAAACATCTCTATGCACACAAACTAAAAAACCTAGAAGAAATGGATAAATTCCTGGAAATATACAATCTCCCAAGGTTGAACCAGGAAGAAACAAATCCTGAACAGAAAAAATAATGAGCTCTGAAATTGAATCAGTAACAAAAAGCCTACCAACCCAAAAAAAGTTCAGGCCAGATGAATACACAGCCAATTCCTATCAGATGTATAAAGAAGAGCTGGCACCATTCCAACTGAAACTATTCCAAAAAATTGAGGAGAGGCTCTTCCTTAACTCATCCTATGAGGCCAGCATCATTCTGCTACTGAAACCTGGCAGAGACACAAGAAAGAAAGAAAACTTCAGGCCAATATCCCAACATAGATGCAAAAATCTGCAACAAAATACTAGCAAATCAAATCCAGCAGCACATCAAAAAGTTAATCCACCACGATCAAGTAGGCTTTATTCCTGGGATTCAAGATTGGTTAACATATGCAAATCAATAAATGTGATTTATTACATAAACAGAACTAGATGCAGAAAACGCTTTTAATAAAATTCAACATCACTTCATGTTGAAAACACTGAACAAACTAGGCATTGAAGGAACATACTTCAAAATAATAAGAGCCATCTATGATAAACCCACAGCCAACATTATATTGAATAGGTAAAAACTGTAAGCATTCCCCTTGAAAACCAGAATAAGACAAGGATGCCCACTCTCAGAACTCCTATTCAACATAGTACTGGAAGTCCTAGCCAGAGCATTCAGGCAAGAGAAAGAAATAAAAGGCATCCAGATAGGAAGAGAGGAAGTCAAACTATTCCTATTTGCATGCAATATGATTTCATACCTAGAAAACCTCATAGTCTCTGCCTAAAAGCTTCTTGATCTAATAAACAAGTTCATCAAAGTTTCAGAATACAAAATCAATGTACAAAAATCAATAGCATTTCTATACACCAACAACATCCAAGCTGAGAGCCAGATCAAGACTGCAATCCCATTCACAATTACCACAAATGGAATAAAATACCTAGGAATACAGCTAACCAGGGAAGTGAAGGAAGTCTTCAAAGACAGCTACAAATCACTGCACAAGGAAATCAGAGATTACACAAACAAATGGAAAAACATTCCACATTCATGGATAGGAAGAATCAATATTGTTCAAATGGCCATACTACCCAAAGTAATTTGTAGATTCAATGCTATTTCTATCAAACTACCAATGATATTTTTCACAGAATTAGAAAAAAATGTTAAAAAGAAATAAAAAATGGTAATTCCTTTTACCCATATAGTAGGGTGTTTAAAGTTTTCCCACTGATAGTCTTTTTATTTTTCAAATTCATTTTTCCCTTTATGTTTCATTTGTGTTAGTTTCTACCTCTATTTTTTCTAGCTCATTAATCTTTTCTTCTCCAATGGTTTTTTGTTTTGTTTTCTTCTGCAGTGCTTTTTTTCATTTCAGACTATACACTATAGATTTCATCTATAGAATTTGATATTTTAAAAAATCTCCCATATCTCTACTTAATTAAAATACAATTATAATTTTTTAAAGTGGTCATAGAGAATGTTGTTGAAATGGAAGTCAGACAAAGGAAACACAAGAATTAAAACCACTGAGACACCATTTCTTACTCATCAGATTGGCAAAAGTTCAGGAGCTTGACAATATATCCTGCAGGCAATGATATAGAGGGGAAAAGAACTTTTATAGATAGCTGGTGGGAATGCACTCTATAACAACCCTAACTGGAAGAGAATATAGCAATCTCTGACAAAATTACCGATGCATTTACCTTTTGACTCAGCAACCCCACTTCTAAAGATACACCTCTAGGGATACAAAAACACATGTGCATGAGTCATACACACATGTTATTATACATTTGTCCAAACCCATAGAATGAACACCAAGAGTGAACCCTAAAGTAAACTTATGGACTTCGGGTGATTATGCTGTGTCAATGTAAGTTCATCAATTGTTAATAATTGTACCATTTTGGTGGGGGATGTTGATAACGGGGGACACTATGCACAGGTGGGGGCAGCAGGTGTATGGGAAATCTTAGTACCTTCCTCTTAATTTTGCTGTGAATCTAAAACTACTATAAAAATTAAGTAAAAAATATGCATATGTATGAGGTTTATTCACTATAGGATTATTTGTAATTGCAAAACATTGGAAGCTATCTAAATGTTCAAGCATAAAAGATTGATTAAATAAAATATGGTAACATAAACAAAATAGAGTCCCATGCTGCTGTTAAAAAAAAAAGATAGGCCCTTACTGTAGGCATCCATGAGTAATTCAGACAGTTCAGTAGGCAGCCACAATTTGTTCTCATGGTTCATGGCCCCAAAAGAAGGGTTCCATTAATCCACCAGTGTGTTGCTTCTGTGTGGCATACCAAACACGAGGCCATTGGCAACAGCTCAAGTTAGTCAGATTTTAGTCTAGCCACCTGTTAACTAAACCCAGGTATTTAGAGAAACCTTGGTGATTCAAGGGCCCACTGAGCAATAGTTTTGCTTCAGGCAGTAAAATAGGAATGAAGTTTCTCCCAAAGGAATAAAAGGCACTTTTTCATGTAAAGCCAAGATACCACCGGAATCTGGCCAGCTACATTTTTGAACATACCATTTCCATTTGACAAGTAGAGCTCTTAGATTCCTACTCATTGAGTCTGAGTTAACACACCCAAAAATGGTTATATCAAGGCAGAGAGTCACAACACAATGCCTCCATGGTCAGGTGTTCAATTTCCACAAGAACTCAGTAGCAAGCTAATAGCTGCCTTTCAGTAAGCCTGCCAGACCTTGGTCCTGGAGGGAAACATTACATTTCTTACACTGAGCAGTAAACAAACCTGTCCTGTGCTACACAAGGAGACACTCTATCTTCCAAGGCTGTTTGATATACAACCATCTTTGAAAAGGTAGTCTGGAACAAAAGGGAAATTAGTCTCTTTGATCAGATGTGTAGAAACACAAGAGACTAATGAAGAATTGTGTCAAATATTAAGATGTCTTTTACCTTCTGTTTTCAGCAGTTGACTCTTACGTTATTTAGTTTTCCGTATATTTACCCTGTTCGGGATTCTCCAAGACTCTTGGATCATAGATGGGTATCTTTTTACCCAATCTGGAAATTTTTCTACCAAGACTTCTTCAACTATTTTTTCCTCATTCTCCCTCACCTCTCCTTCTGAAACTTCAATATGTATTCAATAGTGTCCCATAGATCACTTGGACTCTGCTATTTTTCAACCATTTTTTTTCTCTATGTACTTCAGTTTGGATGATTTCTATTGACCTGTCTTCAAATTTATAATCCTTTCTTCTATATCGGCCAAACTTCTACTAATCTCATCCAATTTTTTACTTCAGATACTTTATTTTTCAGTTGTAGAATTTTCATTAGAATGTTTTTTACAGTGCCTGTATATTTTCAAAAATTCACCAACTTTTCACTCTTAACATTTTTCCCACAGATTCTTTTACATATGTTGGTAAAGCACTTCTCTGCTTTTTCAAACATCTGAGTAACCATAGTCAGCTCCTATAAACTGATTTTTCTCTTGACCTTGGATCATATTTTCCTGTTTCTTTAACATCTAATAGTTCTGTATTACCTATTGAACATTATGAATGACATGTTGTAGAGACACTAAATTTGATCCCTCTTCTTGATCACTCTGAACTTGTGAAGACTTGGTTTGCAGGTTGTTTTGTGTGTTTGTTTATGTTTTTGTTTTTGAGACAGAGTCTCACTCTGTCACCCAGTCTGGAGCATAGTGGTGAATTATAGCTCACTGCAGATTTGACCTCCCAGGCTCAAGCAATTCTCCCACCTCAGCTTCCTGACTAGCCGGGACTACAGGTGTGCACCACCACACCCAGCTAATTTTTAAATTTTTTGTAAGAAACAAGGTTTCATTATGTTGTCCAGGCTGATCTCAAGCTCCTGGGCTCAAGTGATACTCCAAAGTTCTTGGATTACAAGCATGAGAGATCGTGCCTGGTCTGTTTTGTTTTTAAGAGTAGCTCTATTTTGGTATCACCCTTAGTCCTGGGGAAAATCATTTAGTCCTGTAATATGGTCTTTATTTCTAAGATGTGAGGCCTCAGTGGGAAGGCCGAGGTGTTCATCCAATCACTCTCATTTGGCAGGAATTAAAATCAAAACTCCAAATCTACTGAAGTGGGCACCCACCAAAATCTCTATTCAGCTCTTTTAGCCTTCTAGCTCTTGTTTCTAAGTTTCTTGCAGTCTTACCTTGTATGTGTGCATTTCTGAGGCCACTTGGTGATCTGATTGGAGTTTACGTGTCACTCTGACAGCTCCATACCCCAGCTATTAATGTCATAGGGAGGAAAGTTGGTCTAATATAAGTTGGAAGCTGTACTGGATCTCACTAGGTTGTTTCACTGCAGACATAAGAACCAGAGATGTAAAGGGACTCAGAGTACGGAAAGGATTTGTGACAAAAACACTTAGATAAAAGAAGATACAAATTAATTAGTTTTAAAGTACTTCTTCCTATATAGCATGAGACAATTAACTCTTTAATAAGAAGGGTTGTTCAATAAGAAAGTATTGTTTACAAGTAATGCCAAGTTTATTTTCTTGCTTCTCCTCAAGTTCTAATTCAGAAGTATTCAGTAATTACAGTGTTTGCAACAGTTCTACATGGCAACTAGAAAGAAATATTAGACAATCACATTTTGTGTGTATATAAATGTAGGTCTATAATGATAACAATAGATTGGCAATTGATGAGCACTGAATGACAAATAGTTTTGTTTTTATAAAAATATTCAATGGTTGAATTATATTTTCAAATAATAAAATTAAAAATTTGATTAATTAAAGCTGATCTTAAATGTTGATATCCATTAATTATAATTTAATTTTTTATATAATAAATAATTTCTAATATTTTACAAGAAATAAATTTAATATATAGTCTTAAATTTTTCCTTGTATAAACTTATACTTTATTATAAAATATATTCATGTTATATTCACTTAAAACATAGTTAAATTTTAAAAGTGGGCGAAGGATATGAACAGACACTTCTCAAAAGACGACATTTAGGCAGCCAAAAGACACATGAAAAAATGCTCATCATCACTGGCCATCAGAGAAATGCAAATCAAAACCACAATGAGATACCATCTCACACCAGCTAGAATGGCGATCATTAAAAAGTCAGGAAACAACAGGTGCTGGAGAGGATGTGGAGAAATAGGAACACTTTTACACTGTTGGTGGGACTGTAAACTAGTTCAACCATTGTGGAAGACAGTGTGGCGATTCCTCAGGGATCTTGAACTAGAAATACCATTTGACCCAGCAATCCCATTACTGGGTATATACCCAAAGGATTATAAATCATGCTGCTCTAAAGACACATGCACATGTATGTTTACTGTGGCACTACTCACAATAGCAAAGACTTGGAACCAAGCCAAATGTCCAACAATGACAGACTGGATTAAGAAAATGTGGCATATATACACCATGGAATACTATGCAGCCATAAAAAATGATGAGTTCATGTCCTTTGTAGGGACATGGATGAAGCTGGAAACCATCATTCTCAGCAAACTATTGCAAGGACAAAAAACAAAACACCGCATGTTTTCACTCATAGGTGGGAATTGAACAATGAGAGCACTTGGACACAGGAAGGGGAACATCACACACTGGGGCCTGTTGTGCGGTGGGGGGAGGGGGGAGGGATAGCATTAGGAGATACACCTAATGTTAAATGATGAGTTGATGGGTGCAGCACACCAACATGGAACATGTATACATATGTAACTAACCTGCACGTTGTGCACATGTACCCTAAAACTTAAAGTATAATAATAAAAAAAAAATACCAAGGCAGTAAAATGTAAAGGAAAAAAATTTTAATCATTAATGTTAATAGAACAGGTAAAAATCTTGATTATAACAATATAATTAGTGATTTTGATGAAATGAAGGCAATACAAATAAATATTGTAAAATTAGCTATAATAGGTAATGAATTATGCATGTCCTTATTATCTATCCAAATATCATAGGCCTATCAACAAAATATCCAGACACACTTGATATAATTAAGTTAAATCCAGTGATGTTTTAATGAGCTCCAGTCAAATAAAAATGATAGCTTTACACATATTTTTCAATTTTGTCACCTTGGAAGTTTAATCAATTCACATAATTCATAGCAGTTATGTTCTATAAAGTCATTATGAACATTGAGTTATTGAACGCTGATTGCTTACCCCAGGAGATATACAGCATTAGGTTCCCAAAATCTTTGATCACAACATTTTTGTCAACTGATTAATATTTAACTTTGTTTTGCATTTTTGCCAGCTAATCAATACATAACCTCATTTTACATGTACTTCTGTTTAAAAACACCTTATTTACTGTTGATTCATTAACACTGAACTCATGGTCAACAGTACCATAACCCACACCTGGATGAAGCTTATCTCACACTTGTATTTCTCCATAAGACACATCACCACCTTCTTCCACTTAGGAATAGTAGACAGCATGTCAGCACTACACTTGGGGGCGTTTTTTAATAACAAAATCACCAACAAAAAAAAGACAAAACATGGCACTTCAGTTGAGAACACACACATTGGGCAACTCATATTTGTTGCAACTCTGTGCATGTGCATAAATGGCCATGAAAGTGCTCCAAGTATTGATTTTGGGGTCATGAATAAACTTTAACAAGTAGGCAAATTTGAAAAGACAGAATCCATGAATAATAAAAATCAGCTGTATATTGGTCAAGTTAAGATAGAATAGATTTGGCCAGGCATGGTGGCTCACATCTGTAATCCCAGCATTCCCAGGCTGAGGAGGAGGATCACTTTAATCCAAAAGCTCAGGACCAGCCTGGGCAGCACAGTAAGACCCCATCTCTACAAAGAATTAAAAAAACAGCCAGGTGCGGTAGTACATGCTTGTAGTCCTAGCTACTCAGGAGTCTGAGGTGGGAGGATTACCTGAGCCTGGGAGGTCAGCCTGCAGTGAGCTGTAATTGTGCCACTACACTCCAGCCTGGGCAACAGAGTAAGATCCTCTCTAAAAAAATGAAAAAAAAAAAAAAAAAAGAAAGAAACAGATTTTACTTAATAGTTCATTGGTTTAATGTATACCTTTTAAATATTTAGATATATGTAATTAGGGCATTAATGTGATCCTTACTCAGCCCCACAAATGTTAGAGGCAGGCCTGCTTCTTACCCTTCAGGCCAACCCTGGACAGTATTGTGAAGCAGGCAGATGTTTGTGTCTAATGCCCTTAATCCATATATTTTTCGCATGTAATACCTTCTTTTAGCTCCAGTTCTATTATTCATGAGTCTTCAGTACCTCCCTGTGCTTGGAGACACATACACACACGCTCATAAAGATTTCATGAGTTTCTTCAGCAACCTTCTCTATCCAGAGTAGAATAAAACCCTAATGCACAATCAGTTTCATCCTTACATCACCCCATCCGATTTCCTACCTGCCCGTTTCCAATTTCCTCAAGGACCTCTGATATGCTAGATAAGAAAATGATGATCAAATAAGTTTTTTCATGATAGTGGGCTAAACAGCTCTAATAAACTACGCCAATGCACTACTGCTTCCAGGTAAAAATTAATTTTTCTTTTTTTCTGGAAGACCACTGAAAAAAATCTCAGTAGGAATTTAAGTGACCTTTCTTAAAGATATTTGAGGGTTATATAGAGCTTTTAAATCATATCTCCAAGTTAGAATCTGTTCCATGGGGCAGTTTATGTATTAATGTGATCTTTTTTCATAGTAGTGGGCCAAAAATGCCATTAGGAAGAACAGGAAGACATCACCTTATGTGTCCTGAAGGAGAATGGACAGGCCATTAGTCAGGCGGAACATCAAAGGACATAAGCTATGGGGGTGGACACAAACCACAGCTCTGCCGGGCCAAGTTCACTGTGTTCTTGGAGAAGCAGGTCTGCACAATGAGGAAACTGGGTCAGAGCTAAGGGAAGATGAGGTCTAAGAAAGGAACAGTTCAAGGAAGGACTGGGAGATGAATGAATCTAGAAGCACGGAGCTTTAAACCCACCTTTTCTAAAAAACCCTCCTACTAATCAATCCCCAGCCTCTGAGAAACCAGTTTTTCCTTGGTCAAAACGAGAGGTTCACAAATTAAATTTAATTTTCTTAAAAATTAAGACCCAAGGATTGCCAACTGTTTACTTTGCTAATTGAATATTTTTTTAAAAAAGCTAATGTTTGCCATTATAATAATTTCATACAAGAAATAATATTTTTGACATTAAAAAGTAGATAAATACTATTACAGAATAAAAGAAAGTCTTTTCCATTCTAGAAAAAAACAGTTGATGACCAGACACTGACAGTTCACTGCATCTCAGTGAAAACATCACTGTGGACAGGCACAGTCCTGGGAGCCAGCATCTGGGATCTCTGTTCTTGAACAAAGGTCAAATTCTGGGCTCAGTGCCCCAGAGCCATGCTTGACGTCCAAGCTGAGCTAGCTTTATCATCAGGAGGGAGCTCCATGGCTTCTTCAGAGAAAAGCCTGTGGCCATTTGGGGGCCTCAACTGTGGGCCTCATTGTGCTTTTTCCAAGAGATCTCCTTTCCCTAAACCTGCTTCCTTTGGTGTTTATAAGAATCTGTGGTGCCAGAGTGAGTACAGACCCCAAAAGGAACCTGACACAGAAAGGGCTTGAAGTCAAGTGGCTCTTACCTGGAAGGTAGCTCATGCTCTCCTCCTGCGATGGTTAATACTGACTGTCAACTTGATTGGATTGAGGGATACAAAGTATTAATCCTGGGTGTGTCTGTGTGAGTGTCACCAAAAAGATTAACATTTGAGTCAGTGGGCTGGGGAAGGCAGATCTACACTTAATCTGGTGGGCACAATCTAATTAGCTTCTAGAGAATATAAAGCAGGCAAAAACATGTGAAAAGGCAAGATGGGCCTAGCCTCCCAGCCTACATCTTTCTCCCATGCTAGATGCTTCCTGCCCTCGAACATCTTCAGTCTGGGGACTCGGACTGGCTCTCCTTGCTCTTCAGCTTACAAGACAGCCTATTGTGGGACCTTGTGATAGTGTGAGTTAATACTTAATAAACTCCCTTATAAGAGAACCCTGACTGATACACCTCCCATCCTTAAAGACAGATCCTGGCTGGGGGGAAAGTATGTTAAAAGCACAAAAACAGTGATTGTTTCATAATGCGACACTTTCCTTCAGCAAGATTTCTAAACGTAGCCAATAGACTAGCAGAAAGGACAAGTTAGAGAAAACACTGTAGAGGCCACAGCCAAAGGTGTGTTTCCAAACAGCCCTTAGCAAAATATTAAGCCTAGAAGCCCCCATGTGTCATAGCCATTGCCCCAAATGTGCCTTCCATTCTGTGCACCTTTTATAGATGATTTTACTCCATCTGGGCTCCCAGAAAAAAAGATGATTCTGCCAAGGTCATGTGTGACATGAGAATTCTATTCAGAAGGGGCCTTCAGAGATAGAGGAGCTAGCGTCTAGCATGGAGAAATGGCTGACAGGTCTATTTCACCCTTAGCTGAGCTCCCTAAGTTACTTCTTAACCAGGAAAACCTTCTCACAGTCATAGTCCCAGTTAGGTTCCCTTTCTTAGAAACACTGTCCTAGAGCCCTTCTCATTTGTTTGATGCCTACCTGCGAGCTACAGTGGAATGCCCTGGAACTTAAAAGTGAGTTAACATCTAGACATTGACTGGCAAAACTCTTATGAAATGGATGGTCTCCTTACCTAAAGGGACATGATGATTGCTTGATCAAAGCAGGAAGAATGACCTATGAATCAAATCAAAGTATAAATAAATTTGAAAAAAAAAACCTGTTGTATAACCAATTGTATTAAAATGTGCAAGCAAGAGGACTCAAATAGCAGGCTTGAGTAGTATTAATTCCACCCAGTCCAAAGGACTTACAGTGAAGACACTGAACAGGATGGGTGGATGGGTCTGGTCACATTAAGGTAATCTTCCTTCTAAGTCTATCTGGTATCCTTTGCTCTGATTCAAAAATCACCAGGCAAAATGCTGGTGATGGTTTCGCTCTCTCTTCTTTAGGGAGAGAATCCTCTGAATAAAGATACAACTATCTGGGTCCCTAAACATGCATAGTCCCCCCTGAAAACCAATAAATTGGCCTTCCGTATTTCACAGCAATCTCTTGAGAATGTCACTTGGGTGGATTGGGCCTAGACAGTACGGTGCTCTCGGGAAACATGGGAAAAACCAAGTTTCTTGTCCTGTAGGACTATAATTTGAGGAACCTACTGAAAAACCACCTAAAGACTCAACCAGCCTAGTTCTGTGCCTTTTTCTAGAAGCATCCTCTGACATCAGCACTCATTACTCACTTGCCATGTGTATATGCTGCCTTGTGTTACTATGCTGCCCTGCATTACTATTTCACCCTTAATTTTCCAACTAAAGCACAATCTAGTTCTTTTGTTTTTATTTCAATAGCTTTTGGAGTACAGGTGGTTTGGGGTTACATGAATAAATTAATTGCATAGTGGTGATGTCTGAGATTTTAGTGCAACCATCACCCAAGTAGTGTACATTGTATCCAATATGTAGGTTTTTATCCTTCACCCTGCTTCCACCCTCCCCATTCTGAGTCTCAAAAGTCCATTATGTCATTCTGTATGCCTTTGTGTAACCATAGTTTAGGTCTCATAAGTTAGAGCATATGGTATTTCATTTTCCATTCCTGAGTTACTTCACTTAGAATAATGGCCTCCAGCTCTACCCAAGTTGCTGCAAAATACATTATTTCATTTGTTATGGCTGAGTAGTTTTCCATGATATATACATACCACATTTTCTTTATCCACTCATTGGTCAATGGGCACATAGGTTCATTCCATATATTTGCAATTGTGAATTGTGCTCCAATAAATGTATGCACGCCGGCTCTTTTTTCTATAATGACTATTTTCCTGTGGGTAGATACCCAGTAATGGGTTTGCTGGATCAAATGTAGATCTACTTTTAATTCTCTAAGAAGTCTCTATACTGTTTTCCATAGAGATTGTACCAATTTACATTCCCACCAGCAGTATCTAATTGTTCCCTTTTTACCACAACCATACCAACATCTACTGTTTTTTGACTTTTTAATGATGGCCATTCTTGCAGGGGTAAGATAGTGTCTCATTGTGGTTTTAATTTGCATTTATCTGATGATTAGTGATGTTGAGCATTTTTTCATATGTTTGTTGGCCATTTGTATATATTCTTTGAAGAAATGTCTATTCATGTCATTTGTCCACTTTTTGATGGGATTATTTGTGGGTTTTTTTTCTTGCTGATTTGTGTGAGTTCCTTGTAGATTCTGGATATTAGTCCTTTGTCAGATGCACAGTTTGCAAATATTTTCTCCTACTCTGTGAGTTGTCTGTTTATTCTGATGATTATTTCTTTTGATGTACAGAAGCTTTTAGTTTAATTAGGTTCCATTTATTTATTTTTGCTTTAGTTGCATTTGTTCTGGGGGTCTTAGTCATAAATTCTTTGCCTAGGCCAATGTTCAGTAGAGGTTTTCCTAGGTTACCTTCTAGGATTTTTACGGTTTCAGGTCTTGGACTTAAGATCTGAAGGTCTCTGATCCATCTTGAGTTTATTTTTTAATAAGGTGAGAAATAGTGATCCAGTTTCATTATTCTACATGTGGCTATCCAGTTTTCCCAGCACCATTTATTAAATAGAGTGTCCTTTCCTCAATTTATATTTCTGTATGCTTGGTCAAAGATCAGTTGGTTGTAAGTATTTGGCTTTATTTCTGGGTTCTCTGTTATTTTTCATTGGTCTACGTGTCTACTTTTATACCATGTTGTTTTGGTAACTATACCTTAGTAGTATAATTTGAAGTTTGGTAATGTGATGCCTCCAGATCTGTTCTTTTTGCTTAGGATTTCTTTGGCTATTTGGGCTCTTTCTGGGTTTCATATGAATTTCAGAATTGTTTTTTCTAATTTTATGAAAAATTATGTTGGTATTTTGATAGGAATTGCATTGAATCTGTAGATTGCTTTAGGTAATATGGTCATTTTCATAATATTGATTCTTCAAATCCATAATGTCAATGTGTTTCCATTGGTTTTTGCCATCCATTATTTTTTTAGCAGTGTTCTATAGTTCTCCTCATAGAGATCTTTCACCTCCTTGACTAAGTGTATTCCTAGGTCTTTTTTTTCAGCTGTTGTAAAAAAAATTGAGTTCTTGATTTGATCCTCAGCTTGGTTGTTGTTGGTATATAGCGGTGATACTACTTTGTGTACATTGATTTTGTAACCTGAGACTTTACTAAATTCATTTATCAAATATAGGAGTCTTTTGAATAAGTCTTTGGGGTTTTCTAGGTATATAATCATATCATCAGCAAAGAGCAATAATTTGACTTCCTCTTTTCCATTTTGGATGCCCTTTATTTCCTTCTCTTGCTTGATTGTTCTTGCTAGTATTTCCAATACTATGTTGAACAGAAATGATGAAAGTGGGCATTCTTGTCTTATTCCAATTCTAAGTGTGGGGGAATGCTTTCAACTTTTCTCCATTCAGTATGATGTTGGATGTGGGTTTGTTGTATATGGCTTTTACTATTTTGAGGTAAGTCCCTTCTATGCCTAGTTTGTTGAGGGTTTTCACCATGAAAGAATGTGGATTTTATCAAATGCTTTTTCTGCATCTATTGAGATGATCATATGGTTTTGTTTTTGTTTTTTTTAATTCTATGTGATGTATCATATTTATTGACTCATGTATGTTAAAACATCCTTGCATCCCTGGGATGAAACCCACTTGATCATGGTGTATTATCTTTTTTATGTGCTATTGGATTTGGTTAGTATTTTGTTGAGGATTTTTGCATCTACGTTTATTAGGGATATTTGTCTATAGTTTTCTTTTTTTTGTTATGTACTTTCCTTGTTTTTGGCATTAGGGTGATACTGGCTTCATAGAATGGTTTAGAGATGATTCATTCTTTCTCAATTTTTTGGAATAGTTTCAGTAGGATTCATACCAATTCTTCTCTGGATGTCCGGCAGAATTCAGTTGTGAATCCATTTTGTCCTGGGCTTTTGTTGTTGTTGTTGTTGTTGTTGTTGTTGCTGCTGCTGCTGCTGCTGCTGCTGTTGTTGGCAATTTTTCTTTTATTACTAGTTCAATCTCACTGCTTGTTATTGGTGTGTTCATGCTTTCTATTTCTTCCTAATTTAATGTAGGAGGGTTGCATGTTTCCAAGAATTTATTTCCTCTAGTTTCCTAGTTTGTGTGCATAGAAGTGTTCATAGTAGTCTTAAATGATTTTTTGTATATGTGTGGTTTTCGTTGTAATGTCTCCAGTTTCACTTCTAATTGAGCTTATTTGAATCTTCTCCCTTCTTGGTTAACATAGCTAATGATCTATCAATTTTGTTTATCTTTTCAAAGAACCAACTTTTTGTTTCATTGATCTTTTGTATTTTTTGTTTCAAATTAATTTAGTTTTGTTCTGATCTTTGTTATTTCTTTTCTTCTGCCAGCTTTGGCTTTAGTTTGTTCTAGTTTCTCTAGTTCCTTGAGAAGTGACATTATATTGTCAGTTTGTGATCTTTCAGGCTTTCCAATGTAGGCATTTAGCCCTATAAACTTTCCTTTTTGCACTGTTTTTGCTGTATCCCAGAGGTTTTGATAACTTAGGTTGCTATTATCATTCGTTTCAAGGAATATTTTAAATTTCCATCTTTGTTTCATTGTTAACCCCAAAATTATTCAGGAGCAGGTTGTTTAATTTTTATGTATTTATATAGTTTTGAGTATTTCTTTTGGAGTTGATTTCTAGTTTTATTCCACTGTGGTCTGAGAAAATACTTAATATGATTCTGATTTTCTTAATTTATTGAGACTTGTTTTGTGGCCTATCACATGACCAATCTTGGAGAACATTCCATGTGGTGAAGAGAAGAATGTATATTCTTCAGTTGTTGGGTAAAATGTTCTGTAAATATCTGTTAGGTCCATTCGTTCTAGAGTGTAGTTTAATTCCACTGTTTCTTTGTTGCCTTTCTGTCTTGATGATCTGTTTAATGCTGTCAGTGGAGTGTTGAAGTCCCCCACTATTATTATGTTGCTGTTATCTCATTTCTTAGGTCTAGCGTAATTGTTTTACTAATCTGGGAGCTCCAATGTTAGGTGCATATAAATTTAGGATAGTAATATCTTCTTGTGGGATTGATCCTTTTAGCATTATTTAATGACCTTCTTTGTCTTTTTTTACCTTTGTTCCTTTAAAGTCTGTTTTATCTGATATAATAATAGCTACTCATGCTCACTTTTGGTTTCCATTTGCATGGAATATCTTTTCCCACCCATTTACCTTGAGTTTATATGAATTCTTATATGTTAGGTGAGTCTCTTGAAGGCAGCAGATATTAGGTTTGCAATTTTTTTTTTATCCATGCAACCAATCAGTATCTTTTAAGTGGAGTATTCAGGCCATTTACAATCAATATTAATATTGAGATGTGAGGTACTGTTCCAGTCATCATGTTAGTTGTTACCCACTTTGTTTTACTCATTGTGTTACTGTTTTATAGCTCCTGTGAGTTTTATGCTTTCAAGAGATTTTATTCTGGTGCATACTGAGCTTTTGTTTCAAGATTTGAAACTTCTTTTAGCATTTCTTGTAGGGCTTCTCTGATAGTGACAAATTTACTCAGCATTTGTTTGTCTGAAAATGACTTTATTTCTCCTTCATTTATGAAAATTAGTTTTGCTGAATACAAAATTCTTGGCTGACAGTTGCTCTGTTTAAGAAAGCTAAAGATAAATTAAAATCCCTTCTGGCTTGTAAGTTTTTACTGAGAAGTAGAAACTTAGCTTTTGCTTTATTGGTTGTCTGATGCTTTGGTCTCACTACTCTTAGAATTCTTTCCTTCGTGTTGACTTTAGATAGCTTGGTGACTATATGGTGATGTCCTTTTTACAATGAATCTCCCAGGAGTTCTTTGAGCTGCTTGCATTTTCATATCTAAATCTCTAGCAAGGCCAGTGAGATTTTCCTCATTTATTCCCTCAAATAAGTTTTCCAAACCATTTGCTTTTTCTTCTCCCTCAGAAACACCAATTTTTCTTAGGTTTGGTCATTTTACATAATCCCATATTTTTTGGAGAATTTGTTTATTTCTTTTGATTCATTTTTTCTTTATTTTTGTCTGATTGGGTTAATTCTAAAGCCTTGCTTCAAGTTCTGAAATTCTTTCTTCTTCTTGTTCTAGTCTGTTGTTAAAACTTTCCACTACATTTTGTAATTCCCTAAATGTGGTTTTCATTTCAAGAAGTTCTGACTGGCTTTTCTTTAAAATATCTCTTTAGAAAAATTTTATTCATGTCCTGAATTGTTTTTTTAATTTTTTATGTTGGTTTTCAGCTTTCTCTGGTATCTCTTTGAGTGGCTTAATAATCAACCTTTTGAATACTTTGTCTAGTATTTCAAAGTTGTCACCTTGGTTTGGATCCATTGCTGGAGAGCTAGTATGATCTTTTAGGGGTGTTATAGAACCCTGCTTTGTCATATTATCAGAATTACTTTTCTGGCTCCTTCTCATTTGGGTTTACTATTTCTTCTAATTATTCTTGAATTTACTTTTGGTTTGACTGTGTTTTTTTAAATTAAATTTTCCCTCTTAAGGATGTGACTTTAATGCATGTAGTTTATTGTAGCCTAATTCAGCTCTTGGTGCTTTCAAGGGTGAAGACGCTGTATGAGTTCCTCGGCTATAAGGAATCTTCATATGATGGTTTTGTCAGATGCTTGTTATAGTAGCAATATCCTTGGTATGTGAGAAACTTCACAATCCCCTATGGGATTGAAATGGCAGCGGTCTCTTGAAGCTTATCTCATTCTTCCATGGTGTGCACTTATTTATTTATTTTTCCCCAGTATTTTATTTACTGGGTTGAACAGTTCATACTTCAGGCCAGTAGGGGAGGTGTTCCTTGGTAGAAACCAGTTGTGGCTAAAGCAGGTGAATAAACGCAATACACAATGGTGGGCAGAGATCCCAGCCTCAACAGAGGGGCCAGGGAAGCTCTCAGTTAAATTCACTGAGATCTTATTGATGGGGAGGATGGAAGCCACCTCAGCTTCCCTGCCAGGCCAGCAGGAAAGCAATCTACCTCCCAGGCACACTCTTGACCCAGAGTTCTGGCTATTCAGACCAGACAGGCACCTATTTTCATCTGCAGAAATGTTGATGTTCCAAGTAGAGAGGAATTGTGACCCTATCTCCCATGCAAGCCTGAACCTGAAGAGTGCTCCTCCTGTGTGAATGCAGTCACCTTAAAGTGTTCCAGAAAGGCTGTCTATATGTGCACCCATCCTGAGTGCCCATGGGAGAACCCTCAGCTATGTCTGCAGTGGTGGATGGGGGAAAAATAAGTCCCCTTCTCCAAGATTCTTCAGGAGTACCAGGACTGCCTGACTGTTGGAGTAGAGCTGCAGACTTTCCCCACTGAGCCCAGCACTACAACTGTGCCTCTGCTGAAAGGAACTTCCCACCAATGGAAAGATTTAGGACTCAAGGCCTTCCATCCAGATTCTTTTGTCCCACAGGGTGTTCCCTTGATGTGGCGCACTCCCCCTTCCCTTAGGAGTAGGAGTCCCTGAGAACCAGATTACTGTGAATGCTGCTGCTCCTCTGGGTCTAGCTGTTTGGTGGGGCTGCCACACTCCAGGCTGGTGCTGGGGAATGTCTGCAAGGGATTCAGTAATGTGATCTGTCCTCAAGTCTCCCAGCAGTAGGTACCAGCACCAGCTCTCATGGGGGTGGCAGGGCAGTGATGTAGACTCTGTGAGGTTCCTTGGTTATAAATAGCCTTATATTGTTGGTTTTCTTAAATGCTGGTTGCAGTAGCAATGTACTGGTCACATGGACAGACTTGGGACCTCCTGGTTAGCCAGAGTGGTAAAGACAGTGGTGATAGCTGAGGTTAATTGTTAGCTGACCTCTGGCCAGGAGGTGGCCCTTGTAAAATAGCACCAGCTGTGGTAGTAGCAGTGGGATTTATGCTTGCCTTATGTTACCCAGGAGTGGCACTCTGGTTTTTCAGGCGATAGGTGGGGCTATAAAGCCACCAAACAGTTCTGTCCTTTGTGTTAAGCTATCAGGGCGAGTGCAGAGGCAAAGCCAGATGGGGGCTGGGTCAGGCAGGTCTGCGCTCTGGCTGTCCACATTCAGGGCAAGCAGTGGTCCCTGTAGGGGCCAGGGGGTGGTTCTCTGGCCACTGGGGTAATGTTCCAGGGAGAAGCTTGGCTGCCTCAGCTGCACAGAAGAGTTCTCTCAGGAAACGGGGGTAGCAGGTGCCAGTAAGCCCCACCCTGCTCCCATGCACTTGGCAAGGCAGTTCTCATACCTGCAGTGTTCTGCTAGCAGCAACTAGGTAAGTTTCAGGCAGTCTACACTCAAAACTCAAAACTGCCCCAGGCCATATGCCTTCACAGGGGAGACAACAACCTTGGTTTTCAGGCCATTCCCCTCCCAGTTTGCTCAAAAAGCCAGGGTATCCAGCTCCTCCAGACATGGCTGCAGCACACTTCCCACTCTCCCCCACATTCTGGCCTCTCTCCCCCACAATTCTGGCAAGAGGAGTTCATCATCACTCGAGATTATATTGCAAATTTCAGTTGGGAGTTTCTCTCAAACTACAACCACTGCCTGCGTTAGCTAGCAGACTTCCATAAAATCTCCTGTGAGGTAGAATCAGAAATGGCTTCCCTTAGTCTGCACTGGAGACTGGGAATGCACACAATGCTCTTCCTGCTGCTGCTCCTTATATATTTTTCACCACTCCCTAAATCAGTTCCAGCCCTCAGTAGGGTTAAGGCCCTCCCTCAGGACTTGGATTGTCAGATTCCCTGGTAGGGATCTGTATCTTGGAGGCAGTCTTTCACCCTCTAACACTCTGGGGACTTACAGATTTTTGCCTGGCTCACAGAGTAGGCTGTAGTCTGCTACTTCTTTCAAAGGGTCTGTGGTTTCCTTCAGTTTTTTTGTTAAATTCCTGCATTGCTTCTTGGAAAAAAAGTTCATAGTGTGAATCTCTACACACTATTTTGTCTTTCCAAGTCAGAGAGGCATGCTAACACTGCCTCCAATCCACCATCTTCCAATCTAGTTTTTTTAAATCTTTATCAAAGTAGGTCACAAGATGCATGGGGGCAGAAATATCTAGAAAACTTCTTGTAGCATCAAGAAAGGATCTGGGTGGAGGCAAAGAATTTGGGGACAATCTGGTAGAAAATAGCTTGAAATTGATAGGTTGAAAAAGCTTGAGCTCAGGTGAATTCTAGGCCCAGCTCTACCACTCTTAGGCAAACTCCTTACTTTCTCTGTGCCTATCTTCATCTGTAAAATAAGAGGGTGGGCTAGAATTCCTGTATTCTCAGTTATACCCTGTAGTGAATCTGTGTATAGTACAATGAGGTTCAAAACTTAATATCATATACTACAAAGCTATAGCAACAAAAACAGCATGTTACTGGCATGAAAGCAGACACATAGACCAATGAAACAGTAAGAGAAGCCAGAAATATATCCACACGTTTACAGTCAACTGATTTTTAACAAAAGTGCCAAAGATATACAATGGGAAAATGACAGTCTCTTCAATAAATGGTGTTGGGAAATCTGGATATCCACATGCAGAAGAATGAAATTAGACCCTTATCTTTTACCATATGCAAAAATTAACCCAAAATGGATTAAAGACTTAAATTTAAAATCCAAAACTATAAAACTGCTAGAAGGAAACATAGGAGAAAACCTTCATGGCATCTGTCGGAGCAATGATTTTTTTGGATATGACCTCAAAACCATAGGCACAAAAGCAAAAATAGACAAATGGGATTACATCAAACTAAAAAGTTTATGCATGGTGAAGGAAGTAATCTACAGAGTAAAGAGACAACCTATAGAATGGGAGAAAATATTTGAAAACTATACATATAACAAGGGCTTAATATCTAAAATATATAAGGAACTCAAACAACTCAATAGCAAGAAAACAAATAACCCAATCTTAAAAATGGTTAAAGGACCTTAATATACTCAAAAGAAGACATTAATCAAAAGAAGACATACAAACGGCCAATAGGTATATGAAAAAAATGCTCAATATAACTAATTATCAAAGAACTGCAAAGCAAAACAACGAGATATCACCTCACACCTGTTAGAATGACTTATCAAAAAGACAAAATGTAAGTGTTGGTGAACACATGGAGAAAAGGGAACCCTAACACACTGTTGGTGGGGGATGTAAATTACTACAACCATTACAGAAAACAGTATGGAGTTTTATCAAAAAACTAAAAATAGAACTACTATCTCATTTAGCTATCCCACTACAGGGAATAGATCCAAAAGAAATAAAATTCATATGTCAAAATGATATCTTTTTTATATATATACTTTAAGTTCTTAGGTACATTTGCACAATGTGCAGGTTTGCTATGTAGGTATACATGTGCCATGTTGGTTTGCCACACCCATCAACTCATCATTTACATTAGGTATTTCTCCTAATGTTATCCCTCCCCCATCCCCCATCCCCCAACAGGCCCCAGTGTGTGATGTTCCCCACCCTGTGTCCATCTGTTCTCGTTGTTCAACTCCCAACTATCAGTGAGAACATGTGGTGTTTGGTTTTCTGTCCTTCGGATAGTTTGCTTAGAATGATGATTTTCAGCTTCATCCATGTCCCTGCAAAGGACATGAACTCATCTTTTCTACGGCTGCATAGTATTCCATGGTATATACGTGCCACATTTTCTTTATCCAGTCTATCATTGATGGACATTTGGGTTGGTTCCAAGTCTTTGCTATTGTGAATACTGTCGCAATAAACATACGTGTGCATGAGTGTTTATAGTAGCAAGATTTATAATCCTTTGGGTATATACCCAGTAACGGAATTACTGGGTCAAATGCTATTTCTAGTTCTAGATCCTTGATGAATCACCACACTGTCTTCCACAATGGTTGAACTAATTTACACTCCCATCAAAAGTGTAAAAGCATTCCTATTTCTCCACATCTTCTCCAGCATCTGTTGTTTCCTGACTTTTTAATGATCGCCATTCTAACTGGTGTGAGATAGTATCATATTGTGGTTTTGATTTGCATTTCTCTGATGACCAATGATGATAAGCATTTTTTCATATGTCTGTTGGCTGCATAAATGTCTTCTTTTGAGAAGGGTCTGTTCATATCCTTTGCCCACTTTTTGATGGAGTTATTTTTTTCTTGTAAATCTGTTTAAGTTCTTTGTAGATTCTGGATATTATCCCTTTGTCAGATGGGTAGATTGCAAAAATTTTCTCCCATTCTGTTGGTTGCCTGTTCACTCTGATAATAGTTTCTTTTCCTGTGCAGAAGCTCTTTGGTTTAATTAGATCCCATTTGTCAATTTTGGCTTTTGTTGCCATTGCTTTTGGTGTTTCAGTCATGAAGTCTTTGCCCATGCCTATGTCATGAATTGTATTGCCTAGGTTTTCTTCTAAGGTTTTTATGGTCTTAGATCTGACATTTAACTCTTTAATCCACCTTGAGTTAATTTTTGTATACAGTGTGAGGAAGGGATCCAGTTTCAGCTTTCTACATATGGCTAGCCAGTTTTCCCGGCACCATTTATTAAATAAGGAATCCTTTCCCCATTTCTTGTTTTTATCAGGTTTGTCAAAGATCAGATGGTTGTAGATGTGTGGTGTTATTTCGGAGGCCTCTGTTCTGTTCCATTGGTCTATATATCTGTTTTGGTACCAGTACCATGATGTTTTGGTTACTGTAGCCTTGTAGTATAGTTTGAGGTCAGGTAGTGTGATGCCTCCAACTTTATTCTTTTTGCTTAGGATTGTCTTTGCTAAGCGGGCTCTTTTCTTGTTCCATATGAACTTTAAAGTAGTTTTTTCCAATTCTGTGAAGAAAGTCAGTGGTAGCTTCATGGGGATAGCATTGAATCTATAAATTACCTTGGGCAGTATGACCATTTTCATGATATTGATTCTTCCCATCCATGAGCATGGAATGTTCTTCCATCTGTTTGTGTCCTCTTTTATTTTGTTGAGCAGTGGCTTATAGTTAGAGGTCCTTCACTTTCCTTGTAAGTTGGATTCCTAGGTATTTTACTCTGTTTGTAGTAATTGTGAATGCCAGTTCACTCATGATTTGGCTCTGTTTGTCTGTTATTGGTGTCTGGGAATGCTTGTGATGTTTTGCACATTGATTTTGTATCCTGAGACTTTGCTGAAGTGGCTTATCAGCTTAAGGAGATTTTGGGTTGAGAAGATGGGGTTTTCTAAAGATACAATCATGTTCCTTCTCTTGTCTGATTGCCTTAGCCAGAACTTCTAATACTATGTTGAATAGGAGTGGTGGGAGAGGGTATCCTTGCCTTGCGCTGGTTTTCAAAGGGAATGTTTCCAGTTTTTGCCCATTCAGTATGATATTGGCTGTGGGTTTGTCATAAATAGCTCTTATTATTTTGAGATATGTTCCATCAATACCTAGTTTATTGAGAGTTTTTAGCATGAAGCGCTGTTGAATTTTGTCAAAGGCGTTTTCTGCATCTACTGAGATAATTATGTGGTTTTTGTTGTTGGTCTTGTTTATGTGATGGATTACGTTTATTGATTTGCATATGTTGAACCAGCCTTGCATCCCAGGGATGAAGCCCACTTGATCATGGTAGATAAGATTTTTGATGGGCTGCTGGATTTGGTTTGCCAGTATTTTATTGAGGATTTTCGCATCGAAGTTCATCAGGGATATTGGCCCAAAATTCTCTTTTTTGTTGTGCCTCTACCAGGCTTTGGTATCAGGATGATGCTAAATGAGTTAGGGAGGATTCCCTCTTTTTCTGTTGATTGGAATAGTTTCAGAAGGAATGGTACCAGCTCCTCCTTGTACCTCTGGTTGAATTCGGCTGTGAATCCATCTGGTCCTGGACTTTTTTTGGTCGGTAGGCCATTATTTATTGCCTCAATTTCAGTACCTGTTACTGGTCTATTCAGAGATTCAACTTCTTCCTGGTTTAGTCTTGGGAGGGAGTATGTGTCCAGGAATTTATCCATTTCTTCTAGATTTTCTAGTTTGTGTAGAGGTGTTTATAGTATCCTCTGATGGTAGTTTGTATTTCTGTGGGATCGGTGGTGATATCCCCTTTATCATTTTTTATTGTGTCTCTTTGATTCTTCTCTCTTTTCTTCTTTATTAGTCTTGCTGGTGGTCTGTTTTGTTGATCTTTTCCAAAAACCAGCTCCTGGATTCATTGATTTTTTGAAGGGTTTTTTTGTCTCTATCTCCTTCACTTCTGCTCTGATCTTAGTTATTTCTTGCCTTCTGCTAGCTTTTGAATTTGTTTGCTCTTGCTTCTCTAGTTCTTTTAATTGTGATGTTAGGCTGTCAATTTTAGATCTTTCCTGCTTTCTCTTGTCATTTAGTGCTATAAATTTCCCTCTACACACTGCTTTAAATGTGTCCCAGAGATTCTGGTTCATTGTGCCTTTGTTCTCATTGGTTTCAAAGAATATCTTTATCTCTGCCTTCATTTCTTTATTCACCCAGTAGTCACTCAGGAGCAGGTTGTTCAGTTTCCATGTAGTTGTGCAGTTTTGAGTGAGTTTCTTAATCCTGAGTTCTAATTTGATTGCACTGTGCTCTGAGAGACAGTTTGTTGTGATTTCTGTTCTTTTACATTTGCTGAGGAGTGCTTTACTACCAATTATGTGGTCAATTTTAGAATAAATGTGATGTGGTGCTGAGAAGAATGTATATTCTGTTGATTTGGGGTTTAGAGTTCTGTAGATGTCTATTAGGTCTACCTGGTCTAGAGCTGAGTTCAAGTCCTGGATATCCTTGTTAACCTTCTGTCTCACTGATCTGTCTAATATTGACAGTGTGGTGTTAAAGTCTCCCATTATTATTGCATGGGAGACTAAGTCTCTTTGTAGGTCTCTAAGGACTTGCTTTATGAATCTGGGTGCTCCTGTATTAGGTGCATATATATTTGGGATATTTAGCTCTTCTTGATGAATTGATCCCTTTACCATTATGTAGTGGTCTTCTTTGTCTCTCTTGATCTTTTTTGGTTTACAGTCTGTTTTATCAGAGACTAGGATTGCAACCTCTGTTTTTTTTTGTTTGTTTGTTTGTTTGTTTTTGCTTTCCATTTGCTTGGTAGATCTTCCTCCATCCCTTTATTTTGAGCCTATGTGCGTCTTTGCATGTGAGATAGGTCTCCTGAATACAGCACACCAATGGGTCTTGACTCTATCCAATTTGCCAGTCTGTGTCTTTTAATTGGGGCATTTAGCCCATTTACATTTAAGGTTAATATTGTTATGTTTGAATTTGATCCTGTCATTATGATGCCAGCTGGTTATTTTGTCCATTAATTGATGCAGTTTCTTCATAGCATCGATGGTCTTTACAATTTGGCATGTTTTTGCAGTGGCTGGTACTGGTTGCTCTTTTCCATGTTAGTGCTTCATTCAGGAGCTTTTGTAAAGCATGCCTGGTGGTGACAGAATCTCTCAGCATTTGCTTGTCTGTAGAGGATTTTATTTCTCCTTCACTTATGAAGCTTGGTTTAGCTGGATATGAGATTCTGGGTTGAAAATTTTTTTCTTTAAGAATGTTGAATATTGGCCCCCACTCTCTTCTGGCCTGTAGGGTTTCTGCTGAGAGATCTGCTGTTAGTCTGATGGGCTTCCCTTTGTGGGCAATCCGACCTTTCTCTCTGTCTGCCCTTAACATTTTTTCCTTCATTTCAACCTTGGTGATTCTGACAATTATGTGTCTTGGGGTTGCTCTTCTCAAAGAGTATCTTTGTGGTGTTCTATGTATTTCCTGAATTTGAATGTTGGCCTGCCTTGCTAGGTTAGGGAAGTTCTGGAAAATATCCTGAAGAGTGTTTTTTAACTTGGTTCCATTCTCCCCGTCACTTTCCAGTACACCAATCAAACGTATATTTGGTCTTTTCACATAGTCCCATATTTTTTGGAGGCTTTGTTCATTTATTTTCACTCTTTTTTCTCTAATCTTGTCTTCTTGCTTTTTTTCATTAATGTAATCTTCAATCACTGATATCCTTTCTTCCACCAAATCAGCTATTGAAGCTTGTGCATGCATCCCAAAGTTCTCATGCTGTGGTTTTCAGCTCCATCAGGTTATTTAAGGTCTTCTCTACACTGTTTATTCTAGTTAGCCATTTATCTAACCATTTTTCGATGTTTTTAGCTTCCTTGCGATGGGTTAGAATAGGCTCCTTTAGCTCGGAGAACTTTGTTATTACTGACTTTCTGAAGTCTACTTCTGTCAACTCGTCAAAGTCATTCTCCATCCAGTTTTGTTCCCTTGCTGGCAAGGAGCGTGATTCTTTGGAGGAGAAGAGGTGCTCTGTTTTTTTGGAATTTTCAGCTTTTCTGCTCTGGTTTCTCCCCATCTTTGTGGTTTTATCTACCTTTGGTCTTTGATGTTGGTGACCTACAGATGGGGTTTTGATGTGGATGTCCTTTTTGTTGATGTTGATGCTATTCTTTTCTGTTTGTTAGTTTTCCTTCTAACTGTCAGACCCTTCAGCTGCAGTCTGCTGGAGTTTGCTGGAGGTCCACTCCAGACGCTGTTTGCTTGGGTATCACCAGTGGGGACTCCAGAACGGCAAATATTGCTGCTTGATCCTTCTCTGGAAGCTTCATCCCAGAGGGGCACCCGACTGTTTGAGGTGTCTGTTGGCCCCTACTGGGAGGTATTTCCCAGTCAGGCTACATGGGGATCAGGGACCCACTTGAGGAAGCAGTCTGTTTGTTCTCGGAGCTCAAATGCTGTGCTGAGAGAACCACTGCTCTCTTCAGTGCTGTCAGACAGGGACGTTTAAGTCTGCAGAAGCTGTCTGCTTCCTTTTGTTCTACTATGTCCTGCCCCCAGAGGTGGAATCTAGAGAGGCAGTAGGCCTTGCTAAGCTGTGGTGGGTCCACCCAGTTCATGCTTCCCAGCCTCTTTGTTTACACTGTGAGCTACTCAAGCCTCAGCAATAGTGGATGCCCCACCCTCCCAACAAGCTGCAGAGTCACAGGTCGATCTGAGACTGCTGCACTAGCAGTAAGCAAGCCTCCATGGGCATGAGAACTGCCAAGCCAGGCACGGGAGGGTATCTCCTGGTCTGCTGGTTGCTAAGACTGTGGGAAAAGTGCAGTATTTGGTCAGGAGTGTACCGTTTCACCAGGTACAGTCTGTCACGGCTTCTCTTGGCTATGAAAGGGAAATCCCCTGACCCTTGTGCTTCCCAGGTGAGGCAATGCCCCTCCCTACTTCATCTTGCCCTCTGTGGGCTGCAACCACTATCCAACCAGTTCCAATGAGATGAACCAGGTACCTCAGTTGGAAATGCAGAAATCATCCATCTTCTGCATCAGTCTCACTGGGAGCTGCAGACCAGAGCTGTTCCTATTTGGCCATCTTGGAAGTGACCTGTCAAAATGATACCTAAATTCCCATGTTTATTGCAGCATTATTCACAATAGCCAAGATATGAAATCAACCTAAGTATTAATCAACAGATGAATGGATAAAGAAAATATGATATATACACACAAAAGAATACTATTTAGCCAGAAAAGAAGGAAATTCTGGCATTTATGACAACATGAATGAACATGGAGGACATTATGTTAAGTGAAATAAGCCAGCACAGAGAGACAAATACTGCATTGTCTCACTCATATGTGGAACCTAAAAAAAGTTGATCTTGTAGAAGTAGAGAGTGGAATGGTGGGCTGGGGTGGTTGGAGGGGAGGGTGGGTTTGGGAGATGTTAGTTAAAGGATACAAAATTACAGTTAGATAGGAGGAATAAGTTCAATAGACCTATTGTATAGTATGGTGACTATAGTTAATAACAATATATTGTATTCTTAAAAACACAAAAAAGTGAGTGTTTTCACCAGAAAAACGATAGCTATGTGAAGTAGTACATTTATTAATTAGATAGATTTAACCATTCCACAATGTATATATACTTCAAAACATCATGTTCTACATAACGGATACATACAATTTTATCTGTCAGTTAAAAAAATAAAAACGTACAAAAAATTTAATTAAAAAATAGAGTATCAACTATTTAAATACCAAAGTCTCTGTTTCCCTCAAATCTAGGGTTTCAGGGAAAGATAGAGAGTGATTTAATTCTATGAATGGAACTTTTTGCTTTCTCCTTAGCCCCAAGTTTCTATCAAGTATCTCAGTCAGTTTCTGTAGTCAGAGACACAGGTAAGTGAGGATAAATGACTCTCAGACCTGGACGCAATAGAAAACTCATCTCAGTTGAACCTCCCTAATGGGGTGGGGGCAGGGGACAGAGTGGGTCCAAGTGGTGAAAGGTCATCTAAAATACTTCACTGCTTAAGGGACTTTGTCCAGGACAGTTTGACCTCCAGTGAGAGAGACCTCAGAGCATCAGGGCAGGACGAAGCTAAGGAAGAAGTCCTTAGGTGCACAGTGACACCCAGTAATCAGTGTCCAGGACAATTGTCTTGCTGGCTTTCCAACTTTGTGGTTAAGGGCTTCAGATCATAGCCAATGATGAAACAATCCTATCACTTTAACCAGGAACCCAATTCCCTCTCCACAAATCTGAAAGACAAACCAACACACTCAGGCAGCCAGACATTTTAGTCATCAGACATCTTTGGTTTCAAAATGGATATTTTTTATTTTTGAAAGTTTCAAACATAAAGAAGAGTGGAGAAAACTGCATCATGAACACTCATATACTCATCATTTTAAATTTAAAATTGTTAATATTTTGCCATATTAATTCCTTTCAGTTTTCTTCTGCTAAAGCATTTTAGAGTAAATAACAGATCTTACATGTTGTCTTACAATATCATACCCCTATGTATTTTATTATGCATCTTGAAAAGGAAGTTTTTGTGCTATTTATTTATTGCTAATAAAATTTATTTATTTCTAATAAAATTCATAATAGTCTCCTAATATCACTTAATACCTAGTCTATATTCAAATTTTCCAGTGATCTCCCCAAAATGAGCTCTATAATGTGTTTATTCAAACCAATGTCCAATGAAGTACCATACATTACATTTGATTAATGTGCCTCTTAAGTCTCTTTTAATTAAGAACAGACAACCCCTCCCTTTATTATCTTGCTGGAGAAACAATTAAACTGCCTTGTAGAACAGACACATTTGGGATTTATCAATTTCTTTATGGCTTTATTTCATTTTCTCCCTATATCCTCTGCATTTTCTGTAAGCTGAAGTTAGTTCTAAAGGTGTAATTAGATTCTGGGTAAACATCCTAGGCAAGAGTACCTCATAGATGATGCTGTATAAGTCACCATACATAACATCCAGAGACAGCACATGTCATCTGCATTTGCCACCATTAGGGATGTTGATTTGATGACTAAGAGGCTGATTATCAGATTCCTCCAATATAAAGTTACATTTTTCCCTTGGAATCAGCTCTAGGTCTGAGTGGGACTATTTTGTGACAATCCAGTTCTCTGCCGCTTTCTGTTTTTTAGCAGACAGTCTTCAGTAAGGAAGAGCTTTCCCTTAAAAACTGGGACTATGGGGTTGTCCTGATACACAGTCCCTACTGGAAAGACAGACTATGTGTTTGATTCTTTTTCTTTAGCTACCAATATCTAGAGTAAGAAGTTGCTCTAGCAGTGACCCCCATGTTAGTAAGCAAGGTTTTGCTTTGTTTTGGATTTTTCTCAGTAAAGTTAAAGACAGGTTGATTTTTACATGTTTTATGTGTTTCCATCATTTATAGTCCTTTTTCTTTTTGATCCTCAACTGTCCCAACTTTGGCTACTGGAAGCCTTTCCAGACTGGCTCCTGTGTCCTTTTGACATGACCTCATTAGTCTTTGAGTGCTTACTTGCTTTCTGCAAAACATGTCATTCCAGGCTTACCTTATTCATTCTCTGCCCTAGATCTGCAATCAGCCGTCTCCTCAAAGTGTCCTGCAGCTGAGGTTGCCAGCCATTTCAGATACATAATTCATCTTGTCAACAGATAACACAAACTTATCATACTGATAAATACAGTACAATACAGTAAACATATTCTCTCTTTTTTATGATTTTCATAATAACGTTTTCTTTTTTCTAGCTTACTTTATTGTAAGGATACAGTATGTAATACATATAACAGGAAAAGTATTTGTTAATTGACTTTTGATGTTATTGGTAAGGCTTCTGGTCAACACTAGATACTAGAAGTTAAGTTTTGGGAGAGTGAAAAGTTATACACAGATTTTCAACTATGTAGGGGTTGGTGCCCCTAACTCCCATGTTGTTCAAGGCCTAACTGTAACAGCAAATCAAAGCCAGTGGGGTGTGTGCGTGTGTATGTGTTGTGTGTGTGTGCATGTATTAGCAGTCCTTGCTTTGCACCGTAGCACGGGACCCTAAAAGTGACTGTGCATGCTGAAACCCTGTAAAGTAATTTTAATTATCAATGGAGAAATCACAATTGTTCTGTGACCTTTAAAATTTTTTTGTGAAGACATTAAAAACTATCTTACTGTTGGTTATGAATATATAGGAAAATGGTGAGGGAAAACAGTAAAACTAATATTTATTTAGTACACTGTAATTTAAAACCTTAGTAATATTGAGAATTGTCTTATTTCTTTGAAAAAACCACTTATCAAGCACAGTTGGAATAGTGCTTGTCTTCTTCACGTCACATAATTTAGGATATAGAGTGAGATTCTGTTTAATGCGTTGGTGAAGGTAATGAAGTGGCCTCATTGACTGGGGTGATACCTGAGGTTCATTGTCTCATGCCAAGAAAATCAAGGATGTGAACACACAAGGAGCAAGATTAAAATCAGAAGTTTAATAGGCAAAAGAGAGGAGCTCTATGAAGCAGAGAGGGGTCCCAAAAAAATGGGTTGCTGGATCCGTGGCAAAATGCAGGGGGGTTTTATAGAAGCCCGGTGAGGAGGTGGTGCCTGATTTACATTGGGCAAAAAAGATTGGTTGGACTAGATGTGCCATTTATGTAAGGTGTGAAAAACTGGTTAAGGCTAGGTGTGCTGTTTGCATAGGGCACGAAAAGCTGGCTGTCCCCACCCTAATCTTTTATTATGCAATTGGATCCTATGCCTGCTGGTGCCATGTTGCCTGTTTCTTTATTGTACATGTGGTAACAAACAAAGGGAAGATGGAGCATCCATGTTGGATATGTCTGTCCTCCAGGCAGCCCTTTTCTATTGGCACAGCTTCCAGCATTCACCCATGCAAGCTTCCACCTTGCTTATCTATATTTGCAGCTCAATTTTTCAGACTGCTCTTTGTTAAAAAAGAAACGATTTGGGGGGATGCTTTTTGTTTAAAAGGAAGCCCTGCTGAGGACTCTTTTACCTTCACTATCTGCCTAAATAATTCCTTTCTATCTCCTCTATCATATTTCCCCTCTCAGGAGTGGTAACCCTAACTGCTGTTAGGGGGTGTTGGATGACGACTCTTTCTGGCTACTTCCTGCTGAAAAGGGGTGTTGTGTGGGGAAAAACAGCTAGGGCTCCTCCTGGGGTCAATCTAAGCATCCTCAGAAGAAAGGTGTGTCCATTCATGGTTCCATCTGCAGCACCATTTGGAGTTTAATAACTTCTAAGTGAGAAGAGATAAATTTTACAAGAAGATTTAGAATATAGGGCTCGAATATGAGTATTAAGATTACCATTATTAGTGGGGGTAGTATAGGCCATAACCATGACAATAGGGTTTGACAGCTGTTAGCCATTCCGATTGGTTGTAATACTAGTTTGCCTCCACCAGATGTCGCTGTACTTTACCAGAAGCGTTAATATAAAAGCAATGTTTTTCTTAGGATAAGTGACATTGGATTGGGTGGCTAGAGTAACTTTAGTGTTAATTTTGGCTAAATCTTTCCTGTAATTATTATATAATTACTTGTTACAAACATGATAATTAGGCAGAATATTACAGCAATTAAAATTTTGCAACCAGAATTCCACATTGCAGGTGCCACAGTGTATAGTCCTACTGCAAATAGTAGAGTGAGTATAGCAGTTCCCACAAGAGTGGCATAATACATAATTTCCATCTAAAATTTTACTGACTAAGATATAGAATTTCCCTTGGGGGGTTTATGAATTTACAAATTTAATCCCATGGATAATCAAAATCTTCCTGCAAGTATGCACCAAAAAGAAGTTCTAATATCTGACAGTGAATTTTGAGAGGAAATGTAGAAATGACCAGAAGTATCTGATAAGTTAGGGGTGAGACTTAGTAGGATGAGTAACCCTTACTCATTTACTTATCTTTTCTGATTTTCAGCTTAAGATCTCCTATTTCTTTGCATTGATATCAGGGACATTCCTCTAGGCTGTCAGCAGTTGCTCCCTCAGCCTTCCAGGCTTTGACTTGAATGTGATGTATCCAGGAGTCAATTTTTGTAACTTTTACCGCCAAGGGGGTTGAAAGAAGAAAAGTGTAGGGCTCTTCCCAGCTTGGGCTTAGGGAAGGAGAGAGAGAAGGGAGAGCTTTCAGCAATACAAAATCTCCTGGGTTAAATAAAGGTGGCCTTGTTTCTTGGGGTTGGGCTTCTGCTAGTTGTGTTAATTCCTGTTGAAAGGGAGCCAGAGAGGTTACATGCTTAACCAATTCAGAGGTTTCCTGGTCTAATAAAAAATCACTGGTAAGGAAAGGCCATCCATACAGCATCTCGAAAGGGCTTAGACCTAACTTTGAAGGGGTATTTCCTACCCACAATAAAGCCATGGGAAGACGAGTGACCCAAGGAAGGTGAGTTTATTGGGACAGTTTTCTGAGGTGTCTTTTGATAATATCATTTGTCTTCTCTACCTTTCCTGAGGACTGGGATCTCCAAGCACAATGGAGATGATACTGTATGCCTAGTGCCTTTGAGATCCCCTGTGTGACGGCTGCCCTAAATGAGGGGCCATTGCCACTTTGGAGGTATTTAGGTAGACCAAAGTGGGGAGTTATTTCATTAACTAACACTTTTATTCTCAGACGACTTTTCTGTATAGCATGGAAATGCTTCTACCCAGTTAGTGAAAGTATCTACCCATACCAGGAGGTATTGAATGTCCTTCATCTTTGGCATGTGGGTAAAATCTATCTGTCAGTCTTCCCCTGGATAGCTTCCCATCCTTTGGATTTAAGGAGGAAGGAGCTGCCTGTTGAGGTGATTATTTTTAAGACAGACTTCACAAGCATTAACATATTTGACTATTCTTAATAAGTTCTCCCCTGTAAACAATCTCTGGGCACACTGATAAGTTTTATCCTTTCCCAAGTGAAAAGCTTGGTAGAGGAGAGGGTCTTAAGGACTTTCTATTGACTACAGGCTGGCAAGTGGAGTTTGCCATCCTCTGACTGTAGCTACCCTGAGGGCTGGAAAGTGTACCCTCAAGAAATGGCCATTCTATTTCTGGAGGGGAGTACTGGGGCTTAATTTCTCTTACAGAGCCTTCCCAGATTAGAGAGGTTTTGAGTGTGTTAAGAACCTGAGGCTTAATTGCTGCTGACTTGGCTGCCTGATCAGCTAACTTTTTTCCTTCAGCTATTTCATCTGTTCCCCCTGATGTCCCTTACAATGCATCACTGCTGTCTCTTGTGGAAGGAAAACAGAGGATAATAACCTGTTAATTTCCTGATGGTATTTTTTTTTTTTTTTTTTTTTTTTTTTTTTTTTGAGACGGAGTCTCGTTCTGTCGCCCAGGCGGGAGTGCTGTGGCGCGATCTCCACTCACTGCAAGCTCCGCCTTCCGGGTTCACGCCATTCTCCTGCCTCAGCCTCCCGAGTAGCTGGGACTACAGGCGCCCGCCACTGCGCCCGGCTAATTTTTTGTATTTTTAGTAGAGACGGGGTTTCACCGTGGTCTCGATCCCCTGACCTCGTGATCCGCCCGCCTCGGCCTCCCAAAGTGCTAGGATTACAGGCGTGAGCCACCGCGCCCGGCCCCTGATGGTATTTTATAGAGAGCCCATTAGCTGTAAAGAAGTGCCTTTCCTTCCAGATGGCAGCATGAGCATGAAGGACTAAGAAAGCATACTTGGAGTCAGTGCCAATGTTAGTTACTTTTCCCTTGCTTAATTTGAGTGCTCTTGTAAGAGCTATCAGTTCAGTTAGTTGAGTGCTTGTGCCTGGAGAGATGGGTGCAGTTTCAATAACATCATTCAGAGTGACTACGACATATCCTGCCTAACGGACTCCTTGCTCCACACAGGAACTTCCATCCGTAAAGAGGGTCCAGTCTGGATTTTCTAGGGGAGTTTTAATTTGGTGGCTTCTGGTACGAGTAAGGTCACCATGGCAACCCTGCTCAGAGGCATGCTGGCCATTCTTTAGCCACCAAATCAAGTTCCTTACTCAGGTAGGCCACTGGCTGTTGAGCTGGTCCTTGAGCTTGAGTTAAAACTTCCAGGGTCATTTACTTCCTTTCTGATACATAAAGATTGAAGGCCCTCCCTACGGAAAGGCTGAAGGCTGATGCCTTAAGAAAGGCTTGTTTTAGATGATTAAAGGCCTTTTGAGATTCAGGTTCCCAAGTTAGGAAATGAGTTTTTGCCACTTGGGTCTCCTTTATGAGATGATATAAGGGGTGAGCTAGCTCACTGTACACAGGTATCCATAGTCTGCAAAATCCTATATGCCCAAACATCCTTTTAGTTGCTTGAAGGTGTTAGGGAGGGGGAAGAAGGAAATGGGCTTAATCCTTTCTTCCCCTAATGTTCTGGTCCCTTCAGACAACACTAAACCCAGGTACTTTACTGAGGTTTGGCAAAGCTGGGTCTTGGACTTTGAAACCTTATATCTTCTGTCAGCTAAGAAATTAAGAAGAGCTTCTGTGTCTTCCTGAGAAGCTTCCTAAGTTGGGACACAGAGCAGAAGGTCATCTACATATTGCAAGATTCTGACCTCAGGATACGAAAACTCAGAAAGGTCCTTTGATGGTGCCTTTTCAAACAAGTGAGGACTGTGTCAAAATCCCAGAGGTAGCACCATCCATGTTAACTGGGCAGTTTGGCCAGAGAGATCTTCAAAGGAAAACAGGTATTGAGAGTCAGGAGGTAATAGTCTACAGAAAAAGGTAACTTTTAGACCTAGGACTGTGAACTATTTAGTTCCCTCAGGTAATTGAGTCAGCAAGGTATAAGGATTAGGGGCCACTGGGTAAATTGGGACTATGGTCTCATTAATGAGGCAGAGGTACTGAACTAGTCTCCATTCTCCATTGGGGTTTTGCACTCCTAATACTGGAGTATTTGAAAGGGCTGTTACAGGGTTTGAAGAGGCCCTGCATTTTCAAGTTATTAATAATGGCTTCTAGCCCTTTTCTAGCCTCTGGCTTTAGAGGATATTTTCTCTGGTTAGGAAAAGAAGTGGGATCCTTAAGAAGGATCTGGACTGGCCTAGCAGTTATAGTTCAACCTATTCTTCCTTGAGTTGCCCACACTTCTGGATTAATATTAGCTTCCACCAGGGAGAGACAAAGAGTCTGTCCCAGGGCTATAAGGATGCCAACCCCATGCAAGCTAAAATGTCTCTACCTAATAAAGGAGTGAGACTTTCAGGCATAATTAAGAAGTCATGTGTAAATAGTAGCCTCCCCCCACCCCCCCCGCAACTAAAACTAAGAGGTTGAGGAAAATTTTGGGTTAGAACCTTTCCTGAGATGCCCATCACAGTCATGCTATGGGAAGAGGGGAGGCCTGGATTAGAGAGGAAAAGAGAGAGGCTGACTCCAATGTCCAGAAGGAGGTCTACTCTTCTTCCTTCAATTTCCAGAATCACCTGGGGCTCCTGTGCAATAATGGCAGTTTGAGCTGCTGGTGCCAGGGTTTTGAGCCCCGGAACCTATCAGTCCTTTTGGACCATCTGTGAGACTGGCTCCTAACCCAGTGACTTCCATCTCCAAGGGCACTCCAATCTCCAGTGGTCCCTGCCACAGGCTGAACAGGGTTGAGGTGGCTTCTTCTTGCTCCCTGGGCACTCCTTCTTAAAGTGCCCTGACTTGCCACACTGGTAGCAACTAGCAGATGCACCTCAGGGATCCTGGATCTTGCAAGCCTGCAAAGCAGCTACTAGAGCCTTTGTCCTTCTTTTGTGTTTCTTCTCTTTCTCCTTGGCCTCCTCCTTAACCCTGTTATAAAAGACCGAGGTGGCCATCCTCAGGAGGTTTTCCAAGGTGCTGTCTGGTCCTAAAGCCTGCTTCTGCAGTTTCCTTCTAATATTGGGAGATGCCTGTGTAATAAATTGTACTTTGGTGTTATCTGTCCCTCATCTGAATCAGGGGATAAGGATATGTGTTTTATTAGCGCCTCTCTCAGCCTGCCCATAAAGGCCAAGTGATTCTCATCTGGCTTCCGGTCTATCATGGACAATTTAGATTAATTAAGAGATTTGGCCCTAGTTCCTTGTAGGCCCTCCAATATGCACATTAAAAAGTGTTTTCTCTCCCATTCATCTGTGGAGTCACTGGGGTCTCAATCAGGGTTGTCAAGAGTTACTGCCTCTCTTCCTATTGGGAATAATGATTCTCCTATTTCTTCATTTTCCCTATTTTCTCTTTTCCTTTTTGTCCCACTATAGGAGACATATTGCTCACCTCTGAATTTCTCTGCTGCCTGCAGAGCTGCCTGTTTTTTAGCTGTGGTTAGGGTTTGGCAGCAGCATAACATCCCATCATGAGAGTCAAACATCTGAGTTAAATTTTGGAAAGCGTCTATATACCTATTGGGATCATCAGAAAATCTGCATAAGTCTCCCTTTATTTGCCTAAGGTCCTGCAATGAGAAGGGAACTTGAACCCTAGTGGCAACACCTTCATTGGACATTTCCTGTAGGGGTAAGAGTGAAGCTGGAGGAATGAAGAGTTTTGACGATGGTGGAGCTGGAGGAGCTGATGGTGTAATTGGAGGGGGCTCCAAATAAAGAGGACAAGAAGGTCTGGGACACCCAATAGCTGCCTCAGATAATTCCCCCAGAAGTTGCTTTTCTAGTTTTGGGGAATCACTCCCTTTGGGCCTGCATGATATGACTGCTAAGAGCTGAGTCAATTGCATAATGCCTTCAAAGGTCTAGCAAGAAGGACATGCCCTTGTGTAAAGCAAAGTTTCAGGGTTAAAGTAGTCTCACTGTTTCAGAAGGTACTCCAGAGGTGTGCAGACTAAAGATGGCTAGAAAGATACAGGAGACAAGGTGTCCCTCATTCCCGTCCTTCCTTTAGAATGGTCCAGGGTGGAAGGGAAGACAGTGGGGATGTCCCCCCAACTGTTTTCCCTCCTTGGTTCTCTGAGCCCTGGCACACATTAAAAGTGCCACCTGTGGACGCAAGTGTGACCCTCAGCCATGGATCCAGAGGAACTAAGATATGGAGTTAGTCACGCTTACCCATGCAGCTCTAGTCCCTCTGTTGGTGATTTCCCTTTGACTTCCTACACTTGTGTGATCTGCATGGCTCCCCAGTAGATGGATCTCAGGAAACACTACACAACAACCAGATTTGGACAAGGCCCCTTAATGGAGGAAGTCTACTGGGTTAAGCTCTACATTCTGCTATTATGGGCTGGACTGGAGTATTTATTCTTATGCAGTGGTTCTGGTTAACTTCCATACATATCCTCTTACTATTGAAGTACCATTTTAATTGAAGGCAGAAGAGGTGCCTTAAAAGAATGTAGGGACTGAGTGGTGGTTTTCCTGCTGATGGGACAGTATTGGGGCTCAAATTTGGTTTTGGAGGACATTTTTCTCCTCATTGTTGAGTTTTCCCATTCACAGATGGGGTATAAAGCCTGTTCTCTAGTAGAGGGGTGCAAAAAGGGAGGAGAATTGGGAAACTGAGTGTTTTGGCAAAGGGATGACAATGTGCCTCATGGAGAGGATTCCTATTCCACTAGGTGGCATTGTAGGACTTGAAATACCACGTGTTTTCAGGAGAAAGGATAGAGAGAGACGTTCATGGGTGAAGGGGAGGAAACCCTCGGTTCCTAGAAAATCACAAAAGCAGCAATCCCTTGAGCTATATTCCCAGTTACTGCAGTATTTCCTGATCTTGCCTAACAGGATTATTTCCCTGAACCATAGAAATTCCCACAGCATTGCACACAGAGAGTGGATAGGAGACATGGCAGTCTGTGGATAGAAGACATCAAGATGCAGACACACAAGGAGTGAGGTTAAGAGCAGAAGTTTAATAGGCATAAGTAAGAGAAAAGCTCTATGAAGCAGAGAGGAGTCCCAAAAAATGGGTCACCAGATTCGTGGCTAAATGCAGGGGGTTTTATAGATGTGTGGTGAGGAGGCAGTGTCTAATTTACATAGGGCACAAAAAATTGGTTGGATTAGGTGTGCCATTTGCATAAGGTGTGAAAAACTGGCTAGGGCTAGGTGTGCCATTTGCATAAGGCACAAAAAGCTGGCTTCCCCCACCCTAATCTTTTATTATGCAGATGGGTCTTCTGCCTGGCCAGCACCATGTTGCCTGCTTTTTTACTGCACGTGTGGTAACAAAAAAAAAAGGGAAGATGGAACCTCCATGTTGGATATGTCTGGCCTCCAGGTAGCCCTTTTCTACTGGCACATATTCCAGCATAAACCTGTGCAAACTTCTAGCTTGCTTATCTATGTTTGCAGCTCAATTTTTAAGGCTGATCTTTGTTAGAAAAGAAATGATTTGGGAGGATGCTTTTTGTTAAAAAGAGAAGCCCTGCTGAGGACTCTTTTACCTTCACTACCTGCCCAAATAATTTCTTTCTATCTCCTGTATCAGTAAGACTTACATCTAGAGTCTTGCAAACAACAGCAGTGTCAACATCTCCACAATCATTTCTTCTACAATTCTATTTATGTTCAATTTAAATTCAATTTCCAGTGTTATCACCTCTTTTTTCTTTTCTGGACTTTCATCTTTGTTGGTCAATTCCATCTTTCAATTTCCCATTTTTTAAAATATCACATGGATACATAACTGAGAGTCAAGGAAGTGATAAAACTATAGAGAGCTTTGCTCTCTGTGTCTGAACTACATAACAGAAGCTCAGTGAACAATTATAAGCTTACTTTGAAAAAAGTGATGTGATTAGTCACTGATCATGATGTGCATCTGTTATTTATGTAGTTATTTGTGGACTGAATTGCTAGCAGCAAAGTTTATACTTTATGCAATTACTCACAGCTAATATACCATGATAACAGAAATTTAGCTAGTGGAAATTCATGCATATTGGAACCATGCAAAGTGAGGAGTTCCTGTATATTATAATTGTACTGCTTCTATATTCCTGATAAAAAGATGAGGACGATAAAAACTCCAAAAGGGGTGCCATGCTATACTGACATTCACCCTCTCTGGTGATGCTTGGTTCTTTCAGAGAACACTTTGAAGCAGTATTCTTGGAGCCAAGGAACCAGGAGCTCAGGCCCAGGAGGAGGTTTTCAAATGCTGCGTGGCCAGTACAAACCCAAGGCTCATGTGATTAATGTGTAAATCCTCCCTCATAGACACTCATCATTGGCATCAAAGGTCACTTTTGGAGACTCATCATGACTAAGGACTTATCTCTCTCCATCATAGCTCTCCTGCATATTATGAAAAGCAGCTAACCTGAGAGACACAGGGAGAGAGGTTTACCTTTGTATATTTGATTACTGTTAAGCCCTGGAACCAGACTTGAGATGCCCCAATGCCTTCTTCCACAGTGCCAACATGCACAACTAAGACAGTCAAGTTTCCTTAGATTCTGCAGGCCAAATTAGTCTTCTTAACCACATTCTCCAGGTTGCCAACAAAGGCAACATTAAGCCACTGGAAGTCTGGTAACATAGTGACACAAGGGAACCCAGTTTTTAATACAACATGTTCCATTCATCATCGAATGGATTGGTTGTGACTTCTGGTTTTCATTGATGTCTTATTAAAACATATTTTTCCCTTCACTTAGCTGATGTTTTAAGGGGTTGCTTTTGGAAGTCTAATTTGTACTATTCCAGGGTTAAAATGTCCCACTGGAAAAACCGTCTTTAGCTTAATTATGAAGATTAACAGGAAAGTATTTCTAATCCCTAATGTTTGCTTCTGAGCCAGCTTTTCATAAACACACCTATATCTCATATCAATAAATTAATAAGGCAATCCCATCCACTTATCACTACCATCACCAAATCTGCCTTCACTTACCACTTACAGGGATAACTACGGATCCCTCTTTCATTATCCCAAAGCTAGTGGAAAGGCTTTGGGATAATGAATAAGAGGACAAATAAGAGGACTAATATGACTGTCCTCTGAGCAGAGGGGTCCCTCACAGAGCACAGTGGGGTCTGAGACAAGCGCTAGGCTCTTCCAGATACTACTAGGAAAAGAAAGCACAAGTAGGTTCCAACCACTTTAAAGGTGTTTTGTTGCAAGTGTGGTTTTGTTTATTTTTTTCATCTAACCATGTGGAAATCTCTTGATCCTGCCCTTCAAACCTAGATTGACAATTTCATATGACTTAGAGCAATAGATTAGATATAGGAAAGGGTGGTATGTAACACAACTAGACGGTCTCAGATTAAACCCTCCAATCGGGGCATCCCCCAAGAAGAAGCATGTGTGAGACTGACTGAAATGGAACCCATCCCATTTCAACACATGCCCAACCTGGCCTGATGCTTTACACTCAGAGACAAGAATCTGAAAGCCCTGAGGTCACTTCATCTGCTATTTGGGAGACTTTCTATCTGTATAAGTAAGAGAGGCAATGTAAGAAAGACTGAACAGCAGCAAGACAGAGAAATAGAAAGTCTCAGGCTCTACTCCTCCCCACAGAAAGTTCAACTAGCAACTGTCCAGACAAGACAGCTTTTTAAAAACTCCAACACTTGGAAACAAGACTAAGACAACCATGTTGTCTGCAGAACTGGATGAAAACCAAATTTGAAGAGAAAGAAGAATAGTCTCATTTCAACTGCACTGCCCCTCATCCTCACCCAAGTCAGCACAATGCCAGGTGGAGTGGATTCCCTGGACCCACAGCTTATACAGGAGGAAAACAGAACCAGAGGCAATCGTTCAGTTTCTCTCTAGCATTCTGAGATACTTCCAGGAGTCCCACTCTGGTCTCACCTCATGGAAAACACTAGGGGTAACAGCATGACTAGACTTCCTAGGGTCAGGTAGAAATAAAGAAAGAGACATAGATCACAGTGACCTCTGTATAGATTTTAATGTTATTTCTATATTTCTGCCAACTGTGGTGCTCAATTTTTTTTTTTTTTTTTTTTGAGACAGAGTCTCACTCTGTCGCCCAGGCTGGAGTGCAGTGGCGCAATCTTGGCTCACTGCAAGCTCCACCTCCCAGGTTCACGCCATTCTCCTGCCTCAGCCTCCCGAGTAGCTGGGACTACAGGCACCCGCCACCACGCCCGGCTAATTTTTTGTATTTTTAGTAGAGACGGGGTTTCACCGTGTTAGCCAGGATGGTCTTGATCTCCTGACCTCATGATCCACCAGCCTCGGCCTCCCAAAGTGCTGGGATTACAGGCGTGAGCCACCGCACCCGGCCTGTGGTGCTCAGTTGAAGATACCAGCCAACTTCATAGCCCACCCACAAAGCTGAGCTGGTCATTTTCAGAAGCATGGTGGGAAGTTCAACCTAGCTTGAGTTCATAGATGACTAGTCTCAATGCTCAGTTTCCAAACCCACCCCAACAATTCTGCCCAGGCAGGGAGATGCTCACCTTCATCCATTTCAAAGAAATATAGGAGTTAGATCTGTTTGACCCAGTAAGTCAAGCAACAGCTTCATTCAGTCAAAAAGCTAATGCAACAAGCCTGCCAGGCAGGAAGACTCACCTCTGTGCTTTTTGGAGAAGCATAGAGAATAGACCTGCTTGACCTGAGAGGTCAAATAGCAGGTCAACTCAGCCAAAAGTCCACCCCACAGCTCCAAACTAACAGGGAGACAATCCACAATTATGCATTTATAGGAGCATAGACTGGTTCAACTTATCCCTAGCAGCAATTACACATAACCTCAGAGCCCTGCCTGCAGCACTGTCCAAATACAGATCCCAAATAGTGGAATCACTCAGCCAGGGAATACATCCTGTAGCTGGCCTGACCAGAGGCCATCACAGTACCCAGTCAGCAGCTCCACTTGATTTCAGAACCCAGCCAGTGATCTTCCAGACAGCAGAGCCCAGGCAGAAGCCCCACCCAACATCAGAGCAAAAGCAGTGACTCAGCCAATTAAAGAACTCACAAACAGTTTTGACTTCTAGAGGTCATTACCAGCTAGTCCTCCCAGAATCACAAGCTAAACAGTGAAGGCCCATCCCTGCCGAAGAACACCTGTAAAGGCTAAAAAGGGGGCTGTCTGCTCAAATAAGCAGAGGACACAAGGATTAAAAATAATCAGGGAATCATGGCACTTTCATGATTAAACTAATAAGGCTCTAATAATGGACCCTAAAGAAATAGAGATCTATGAAATTACTGACAAAAAATTCAGAACAATTTTCTCAAATAATTTAGTGAACTACAAGAATATACAGATAGAAAATTAAATGAAATTTGGAAAACAATACACAAAGTGAGATAAAGAAATAGAAACAATAGAAAAGCACAAAATAGAAATTCTAGATATGAAAATATAATGACTGAACTAAAAACTTCAATAGAAAGAGTCAACTGCAGACTCAATCCAGCAGAAGAAAGAATCAGTGTGCTCAAAGACAGAATATTTGACATTATCCAGGCAGAGAAGCAAAAAAAGTAAATGAATGAAGAAAGTACAGGAATTTTGAAACACCACTGAGAGATTCAGTGTTCATGTAACAGGAGTTCCAAATGGCAAAGAAAGAAAAAAGGGCCCAGAAAGCATATTTGAAGAAATAATGACTGAAATTTTCCCTAATCTGGGGATAGATGGCAACATCCAGGTACACCAAGTGCAGAGGTCTCCAGTCAAATTCAAATCAAAGAGGAGTTCACCAAGACACACAATAATCAAATTATCAGAAACCAAAGATAAAGAAAAAATTCTGAGAGCAGCAACAGATAAGAAATATATCACATCTAAAGAAGTGCCAATACAACTAGTAGTCTCCTCAGCAGAAATCCTGCAGATCAAGAGAGAGTGGGATGATATACTCAAACTGCTGAGGGCAAAATCTGCCAAACCAGAATAACTGACAGAGCAAAGCTTTTTTTTTCCCAAATGAGGAAGAAATAAAACCTTCCCAAGCAAAATCTAAGAGAGTTTATCACCATTAGACCCGCCTTGCAGAGATTGCTGAGGGGAGTTCTTTAAGCTGAAAAAAAAGACCTCTAATTGATAACATAAAACACACAAAAGCACAAAATTCAACGATATAAGTAAAACAGAGCCCTATTTAGAACACTCTAGGATTGTAATAATGGTGATGAAAACAATTTTATTCCTAGTATAAGGGCTAAAAGACAAAACAATTAATAATAACTATAGCTAAAATAAATTGTCAAGGAATCACATTACAAAATGATGTTAAGTTCTGATATCAAAAACATAAATTGGGGGCTAAAACTGTAGATTTGTTATATACAATTACAGTTAAGCTATGATTGGCTTGAAACAGATTATAAGATGTTCTATATAAGTTTCATAGTAACCAAAAGACAGAAACATTTAGAAGCACAAAACAAACATACAAAAGAATGAAAGCATACCACTACGGAAAATCATCAAATCACAAAGGAAGACAGCAAAAGAGAAAGAATAAAATAAAGTATCTACAAAACAACCAGAAAACAATTAACAAAATTGCAGCAGTAAGTCCTTACCTATCAATAATTACCTTGGATATAAATGAATTAAATTCTCCAACAAAAAGATATAGAGTGACTGAATGAATATAAAGAAAAAAGCAAAAGACCCAATTATACACTGCCTAGTAAGAAACTTATCTCACTTTTAAAGACACATACAGACTGAAAGTGAAGAGATGAAAAAAGATAGTCCATGCAAATGAAAACCAAAAGAGAGCAGGGGTAGCTCTACTTACGTTTGACAAATACGTTTTAAGTCAAAAGCTGTAAAAAGACACAAAGAAGGCCATTATATAATGACAAAGGGGTCAATTTTTCAAGAGGATGTGACAATTATAAATATATATGCACCCATCATCAGAACTCCTAAATACATAACACAAATATTAAAGGATCTTAAGGGAGAGATAGATTGTAATACAATAATATTTGGGTACTTCAATAACCTACTTTCAACAATGACTAGATTATTCAGACAAAAAATTAAAAAGGAGACTGGGCACGGTGGCTCATGCCTGTAATCCCAGCACTTTAGGAGGCCAAGGCTGGTGGATCACCTGAGGTCAGGAGTGGCCAGGAGTTCCAGATCAGCCTGACCAACATGGTGAAACCTCACCTCCACTAAAACTATAAAATTAGCCGGGCATGGTGGCGCATGCCAGTAATCCCAGCTACTTGGGAGGCTGAGGCAAGAGAATTGCTTGAACCCATGAGGCAGAGGTTGCAGTGAGCTGGGATCATGCCATTGCACTCCAGCCTGGGCAACATGAATGAAACTCCCTCTCAAAAAAAAAAAATTAGTAAGGAAACATCAGACTTGAACTGCACTTTAGACCACATGGGCCTAACAGACATATACAGAACATTACAGCCACAGAATACACATTCTTCTCAAGTGCACATTCTGTAAGATATAGCACATGTTACAGCACAAAACATGCCTTCGAAAATTTAAGAAGATTGAAACAATATCAAGTATATTTTCCAACCACGATAAGTGTAACTAGAAATCATCAACAGGAGGAATTTTAGAAAGTTTGCAAATACATGGAAATTAAACAACATACTCCCGAATAGCCCATGGATCAATGAAGAAATTAAAATGAAAATCTAAAAATATCTGAGACAAATGAAAATAAAAACACAACATACCAAAATTTATGGAATACAACAAAAGCTGTTCTAATAGGAGAGTTTATAGCAATAAATACCTACATCAAGAAGAAGAAAAAATCTCAAACAACATTACTCCTCAAGGAACTAGAAAAATAAGAACAAACTAAGCAGAAAGTTGGCAGAAGAAAGAAAATGATGCAGATTTGAGCAGAAATACATAAGATAGGAATACAGGAAAAAATCAACAAACTGAGAGTTGGATTTTGAAAAGATAAAAACCACAAATCTGTAAGTAGACTATGAAAAACAAAGAGTCAAATATATAAAATCAGAAATGAAAGAGAAGACATTATAACTGATATCACAGAAATGCAAAGAATCATAAGAGACTATGTAAATAATTCTATGCCAACAAATTGGATAATCTACAGAAATGGATAAATTCCTAGACACATACAAGCTACCAAGACTGAATCATGAAGAAATAGAAAATGCAACAAGCCCAGTGAGTATGAATATTGAATCACTAATAAAAAGTCTCCCATTAAAGAAAAGTCAAGGACCTGATGGCTTCACTGCTGAACTCTGCTAGACATTTCAAGACTTAATACCAATTCTTCTCAAAATCTTACAAAAAAATCAAAGAAGAAGAAATACTTCCAATCTCTTTTTATGAAGCCAGCATTACCTTGATACCAAAGCCAGACAAGGATACTACAAGAATAGAAAATTATGGGTGAATATCCCTGATGAACACAGATGCAAAAATTCCCAACAAAATACTAGGAAAAAGAATTCAATGACACACTAAAAGGATCATCTACCATTATCAAGTGGAATTTACCTCTGGGATGCAAGGATGGTTCAACATATGCAAATCAATAAATGTGATACATCACATTAACAGAATGAAGGACAAAAACCATATGATCATATCATTAGATACAGAAAAAGCATTTGACAAATTTTGGCATCCTTTCATGATAAACTCTCATCCACAGTAGGTGTAGAAGGAATATACCTCAACACATTAAAGGCCATATATGGCAAGCCCACAGCAAACATTATACTCAATAGTGACAACTTGAAAGTCTTTCCTCTAAGATCTGGAGCAAGGATGATGAAATGGTTTGTATCTCTGTCCTCACCCAAATCTCATGTTGAATTGTAATCCCCAGTATTGGAGGTGGGGCCTGGTAGGAGGTGATTGGATCATGGAGGCAAATTTCTCATGAATGGTTTAGCTCTATCCCCTTGGTGCTGTTCTCATGATACAGAGTAAGTTTCTGACATATCTGATTGCTTAAAAGTGTGTAGCACCTGCCTAATCTCTCTTGCTCCTGCTCCAGCCATGTGACATGCCAGCACCCCCTTTGCCTTCTGCCATGATTGTAAGTATCCTGAGGCCTCCCCAGAAGCTGACCAGATGCCAGCAACTTGTTTCTTGTATAACCTGCAAAACTGCAAGCCAATTAAACCTCTTTTCTTTATCAAGTACCCAGTCTCAAGTATTTCTTTATAGCAATGCAAGAACAGGCTGATACAAGATGCCCATTCTCACCACTTCTATTCAATATAGTATTGAAAGTCCTTGCCAGAGCAAAGAGGCAAAAGAAAGAAAGAAAAGGCATCCAAATAGGAAAGGAGGATATGAAATTGTCAGTGTTTGCTAAGTAAGAGTGGCAGGTCTTTTCTCCCTTAGTTCTTCCTTTATTGTGCCCCTTCCAGCAATCAACTGTTTAGTCCACACACTTCTTTGTACCTTGGTTACAAAATTACTGCATGTAAAACTACTTTACATGAGTTCAGAGTTCAGGGCACAACCTCATATGGTATTTTCCTTTTCCAGGTCACTCTTCAGTCCAAAGCCAAAAGCACTTTCATTAGTTCTCTCAGTCACTTGGAAGGTCAAACTCTGTCTGTCTGGGTCCCAGTGAGTCTCTCTGAAAGCCACTAGAATCTAAACTCAGAGTTTCACTGCTTTTCACTCTAAGAATTAGCAGTTCTCCCACTACTCAGCCTCCAGCTTTGGTTGCCCCAAACTTCTACTTCCCTGAAAAAAACACTTCTGGTGCCATTTCTTCTCATCCTAGCCCGCTCCCAAACTTCTCCTAAAGTTTCTTCACAGCCTATAGCAACATTCTCTCTGAGGACTCCCTTCAGGTTTCTGATGTCTTCATGGGAGGCAGAGCTGAGGGAGGTCCTCCCTGTTCCCTCCACCATGGGGCTTCATTCTATTGTCTTTAAGTCCTCCTCAACCAACCAGTTCCACAACCAGTGTGGGTCCTGAAGGCTGCTTCAGGCACAGAAATGCACAGTTATCCTTCAGCTCAAATGAAAATCAAGTCCCAGCCCCTGAAGTCAACAGAGGACAAGAGTTGCTCTTCCAGACTTACAGATAGATCTTGACCAAGAAAGAAAAACAGGATTTCTTTCTTCCCAAGCACCAAAACATGTGGTCTAAAATGACCAGGAGGTAAGAAGGTTCTCCCCAAGCAGAGCCTGAGAAAGGAGAGAAGTTGAGAGCTGTGAGGAAAGTAACCATAAGATTCTTCAGTTAGAAGACTCAGAAATTAGGTAGTTGAAGATCACTGAAGTGTTTTATTATGCTGGGCCCCATGCTTGGAGATTCACTGTGTGTTCCTTAATGGCTGAGGTACTGTGCTAGGCACTGAGAGAAGACAAGATGAGAAAGACAAGATTCCCTTCCCTTAAGGAACGTCTTATCCTGCAGCTAAGACCAAAATGGAAGTCAGTACAAAACAAGGAAGCATTTAAGGAGGAGCATAAGAGATGCCAAGCACTGTTTCTGACTGGGAGAGAAGCTATCTCCTTGTGAGGGAAAAAAAATGTTTACAAAGTAGGCAGAATTTGAACTATGGCTTTAGAGAAGGAATGAGAATTAATTAGAGAGAAAATCAGGGAGATTATCCCTGGCAGAAGAGAGTTCACAAGAGAAAGTGTAGAAAGAAGAAAGGTCAGCATGTATTCCCAGAACACTGCAGTTGTGGAGTGGGGGCGATGAGGGAGAGGTTTGCACAGGTTCCTGCCTCCTCTGATGTCCTGAGGCTGCTGGGCATCAGGTCAAAGAACACGGCCTGCTCAATAGTGAGCTCCCTGCTGCCAACTGAGTTGTTTGTCACATGTGGTTCACCTCACCACATTCCCTACCCCTGCCTGGCAATCTTCCTATTTTGCTTTATCAGTGGGTAAAAGGTATGTTTTCACAGGCAACTATTAAAACTATTTCAATAGAAACTTTTAAAAAAACTCATCTAAGAGATTTGACTCTTATAAACATTTGCTTTAATGTAGTTTTCTTATTCTCATATATTGGGAAATGGTAAACAAAATGTGGCTAGCATAAAAGCCTGAGATCTTGGCAGAGAGACACGAGCTTGAGTTTGGTCTGTGAAGCTATCCAAGAAGTGCATAACAGGTCCAAAGTACAAGCCTCTGCAGGGGCCCTTCCACCGAGATGAGCTCTTGGCTTGGAAGAAAGAGCACCAGAACAAGACCTAGGGGTCCCAGGATCCCATCCCAGACCCACCACAACTCTCTATGTAACTTTTTGCAAGTCACTTTGTGCCTCTGTGCCTCCATTTACTTCTCCCCAAAATGAAGTGTCTCAATGACATCAAAGGCAATGTATTTAGGTAGAAAGGCAAAGAGCTTTAATGTCAAACAAAAAGCATTCAAATAAATCTTTAGCTCTGACCCTTGTGAAGGCATGATTTGGGACAAGATACTTAGCGTGTGATATCCTTACTTTCCTCCCGTGTAAAAGAAACAAATATTACCTGCCTGAGGTTGCTACAAGAAATAAATGAGATATTGCATGTAAAAATGCCCAGCACAGTATCTAGAAAGTAGTTGGTGCCTGCTGCCATCTTCCCTGGCCTTTGAAAGAGTCCTTTGAGTTACAACATTCTATGTTTCCATCAAAGTAATGTTTCCACATTAGCACAGGGTCTGAGATCATAGCAGGGGTGGAAATCACGAGACACAAATCCAAGCAAACCTTTTCATCAGAGGGCCAACAGAGGATTCAGTTAACCAGTCAAATCTTCTGATTTAGGATGCACTTTCTTCTGTACCAGTGTTTCCTAAACATGCTTGTTAATAACAATCTAGGTCATCATCTGGAGATTCCAAAGCAGCACATCTGGAGAGAGACCTGGGAATCTGAATATTTAACTGGCACTAGGGAGAATGTTTCAAAGTGGCAAACCTGAGAAACAGCATTTGATCTGGTTCCTCTTGAACTCTCAGCCTCCTAATTCCCTGCTGTCTGGCCTACTGTGGCTGTTGGCTTCACTGCCTGCCACTGGCACCCATGTGCTTCCTAGAATTTGTCCAGTTTCTACATCAGTTCTGCCACTTGCTAGCCAGCTCAGTGCATTTGGGAATTGACATTGCGGCATCTGCATTATGAAAAGCTTGGCTACTCCTCCTTCCCTCTGTAGAGATTTTTTAACTGTTTGTGCCTTTGTTAAGCCTGAGCCCAGGAAGAGGTTTAGCATGTCAGTTTTCCCCTTTGTAGCAATTTGGGTTGAAGATAGATTTGGAAAGGAAATTGGAATTAAAGGCTAAAGAAAGCAGTCAGCTCTCAAATGTCCACATTTTCCATTAGTGCCATTACCAGGAACTTCCAGCATCTGTCAGGGTCCTTCAAGCTTCTTCAGCTCATGGTGCTGCTAAAGAGCTGATCTATCCAATTGCTGCACTTTGAGAAATGTTCATATATGTCTGTCATGCCCATGAAAATGCAGACCTCAGGCAATCGCTAGATTGTCACAAAGTAAGATGTACCCCAGATTTTGCCTGTCCAGTGTTCTTCCCAAGTGTCCTCCACAAAGACAGCATACAGCATTGCTGCAGCCTTTTGTATGGCTCACAGAACAGGCAGGTACCTAGGGAGCTGCCCACCCTTCTCCACTCATGAAGGAACCTATTTTCCTGAGCCCCCCACCACCCCCTTTCCACCTGACCTCACTCTCAAATTCTTTCTACCCGAGACTCTGATTCTAACCTTGTTCCCAATCAGCAGGACTTCAAGGAGTCCTGCCTAGCGCAGAAGGACCCATGATGCACCACTGAGCCAATGTGGTCAGCATCCTGTCCAGTTTTTCCCAGCTATGGTCGAGCTCCTCTGGGATCAGGTGTTGACCCTGTTCCTGTCTTCAGGGATTAGTCTTGGGTTTGGCATCATACCTGAGGATGAGGGTACAGTTTGTCAGACCCCTCACCTCAGCGATCTCCCAGGTTGCTCTATTCCTCTGCCTGTCTACCCATATATTCCACCTTCCTCTCACCAGGTCTTCCTGCCCCAGCCTCCTAGACATGGAGCTCCACCTTCCTGGGCTTCTTCTCACACCTGCAGCTGGCTCCAGTTCCAGGACTGGCTTCTAGTCTCCAGATCTCTGATCAGAGGCTGACAGATAGTTTTGAGTCCCAGATACATAAGGAGGTATAATAAAATCCCCAGGAGAGTATATCTCCACTTAGACTCATGGGGATGTGTGTGCCCCTCTATGAAGAATCTCAGAAACCCAAATTTCAGAAGGAATATTTTGATCCTACTTATGTTGCTTCTACAGGCCTGTGTGCTAAAAAGGAAAGGCTGCATTAGTTCATCAACTCAGGCTCACCAAGAAGCAGACATCAAGATGGGATTAGAGGCCGGACAAGGTGGCTCACACCTGTAATCCCAGCACTTTGGGAGGCTGAGGTGGGTGGATCACCTGAGGTCAGGAGTCTAAAACCAGCCTAGTCAACATGGTGAAACCCCGTCTCTACTAAAAACACAAAAATTAGCCAGGCATGGTGGCACACGCCTATAATCCCAGCTACTCAGGAAGCTGGAGCAGGAGAATCACTGGAACCCAGGAGGTGGAGGTTGCAGTGAGCAGAGATTGCATCACTGCACTCCAGCCTGGATGACAGAGTGAGACTCCAACTCAAAAAAAAAAAAATGAAAGACAGTTGTTAGAAGATGATGCACAAAAAGGTGAAGAGAGCCTCAGACAATGATGCAGTACTGACACCATGGAAGGAGAGAGGACAGAAAGGAAGCCTGGCTAGGAAGAGTTTCATACTACAGACCAGTTCCAAGAAAGGCTCAGCCAAGTCTGTGGGGAACCCTTGAACCAGAGGTGGGAGGAGAGCCCATCTCGCCAGAATGGTCCTGCCTTAGTAAAATAAAAATGAAACAAAAGGGAACTTGGCAGCCATCTTAGAAAAAGCTTTGGAGACTCATCAATTTCATAGCCAGTATTTAGAGAAGGGAACATCAAGGACTAGAGAAGGAGGTGGTTGTGTAAGAGAAGAAGAAAGCAGCCTGGACTCAGATCTGAGTCTCAGGAAGAAGGACCAGGAGCATCTAGGAAGGCAGCTGCTATCCACGAAGCAGACCAGGGCCTAAAAGGGCATTGAAGTTTCCCAGGATGCAGTGAGCACAACACCAAACTAGAGACCTGGTAAAAGTCACATAAGTGTCATTAGCCTTTGACCTGGCCTGTAGGCTGGATCCAGAGGGCCTAGACCCCTGACCCAAGCCTTATTGAGCCTCATCTATGGCAACCAAGAGCAAAGTACAAAGGCCAACACAAAGGCCACATAACTTAACTCTGAAGCAAAAGCCTTTTCTCGTTTTTCCCGATCTCCCTGAACCCACCCCACTCAAGAGCAGGAATTTCCTAATGAAGATTTTCAGATTGATAATCTTCAAGAAGTTCATTGAAGACTTGCGTCTCTGTCTGTTCTTGACTGAGTCAAGCTTTGAGAAGGAGGGTGACTTGGAAGCCCAAGCTTGAAAGTCTCATTCTGCCAGGAAGGGGCAGAAAGCACTGATGGACTCATTGGACTTCAGCAGCTGGGGGAGAAGCACATCCTTGTCCGTGTCCTCCTCAGACACCACCTGGGCCATGATCTGTGTGGCAGTCCAATCCTGAGTCTGCAGTCCCTGCTGAGCACTATTCTGGGTGCTGGGCTGTCCCCAGGCCATTGTGGACCCAGTGGGATAGAGAACTGCCTATGCTCTTAGGTGAGCTGCTACTGTGGCTTTTTGCCCAGGGGCACAGCTTCCTGCTGTCCACTGCTACCCCTAGCAGGCGGCTTGTCTTCACCCCTGAAACTAAGCTGCATTCTCCAGGGAGTCTGTGCTGCAGAGGAGAAATCAGCTGAGGGGCAGTTGTGCGGGGAGGAAGGAAACACAGTGGAGGCTGGGGCAGGGCTGGGGCACACTGGGGTATAGGGCCGAGGGAACAGGGTGGAGTGCACCGAGGTATGGGACTGGGGAGGAGTGAGTCCACTATGTACGGAGTTGGGGGCAAAGGTGGAGGGGTGATCTGTTCCTGACATTTTTAATGATGTATTTTGTAACATTTGATACATATGGAAGTATAGATGTGATTGTATGTGTGTTTATATAATGTGTATGCATATAAAACAAATACTCATGAGCTCACCATCCAAACTAAGAATTGCAACATAAGCCTCTAAAACATTTTCCCCTCTATTATAAAACAGTTTTTAAAATTGTTTCTGTTAAATATTGAGTAAACACAAAAGAATAATTATAAAGGAAAATAACATAAGTAACATCAAGTAACATCTGTGTGCCCTGTTTGCCTCTCCCTAATTCTGTTCATGACTATTTGCTACCACCTGGGAATGTGATTCTCAGAACATGTCCTAGGTGAAAGTGTTCTAGATTTAGAACATTTAGAACATACTTCATACTTTGTACTTCATAGCATAACACCTACTTAAAGTTGAAAGTATTTATTTAATTTGGCCTTCTTTTTCTCAATTGAAAGAAGTTATTACTTTGGGCAAAGAAGAGGTGGAAGACAAAGCGATATTTAAAACAACTATTTTGTGGAAGTCAGGGTCCATCTTCTATTTTTCCATGTGTCTCTAGAGCAGCATGGTGTCTAATGAGCAATGGACTCTCCGTGGGAATAAGCATGTTGAAGTTGTTATATATATAAAAGTTAATTGAATCTATAAATCAATTTGGGGAAAACAGACATGTTTGCAATGTGGTGTCTCTTTACCCATGAACATGATATATCTCTCAATTTACTAAGATCTCTTTTAAAATATTTGCACTAAATGTTATGAATTCAATGTTAGCATTGTTCATAATAGCAAATAAATTGAAAATAACCCAAATACCAATTGATAGGACAATTAATAAAGTTTGATATATTTACACAATGAAACTCTATACATTGGCAAAAATAAATGAACTAAAGCCACACACATCAACAGGGGTGATACTGAAAAACAATTTTCAGAAAAATACATTCCATATAAAAAGTTTTATAAGCACAGAAAAGGAACCCGCATGATACATGGTTTAGAAATACAAAACTGTGTAGCAAAACCTTAAGGAAAGCCAACTGGGCCTTGAATGGTGGACTAGGTTATTCAGACCAACCCTTCCACTGAAGACAGATAAAAAGAAGTGGTGAAATGTTTTTGAATTTTCTTTAAGCATCAGAGAACCAACAAGATGTTAGAAAACTTACCGGACCAAGATCTAGGAAGAAGACAGGAATCCAGGAAGGTGAGCCCCACAGTTGGCACTGCTTTTGTCCTGTGGACATTTATTGATCTGGAAGTGATAACCGAAAGACAGAGTTATGCTTTGGAGAAGGCTTAAAGGACAAAGTGCAAAGATCACAATCCAAGGCAATAGAGAGTCAGGATCTTAGAAAACAACCTCCCATTTTGCACCCTGAACTTTTGCATCTTAGAAAAGAGAATAAAATCAAAAGAAACAAGTCCTTCCATGGACTGTATACCACCTTCAAGCTATCTGGGTAACACAGAAAATATCAAGCCCTGAACTAGGATTAAGATGAATTCATATTGCTAGCTCTCCCACATACTGTCATAATCTAACTAAATATTTTTAAAAATACTCCTTAGAGAAAGACAAGCTCTTCCTGGGTCTCAAATTATTTCTAAAAATCATAGTGTGATTACAGGATAATTCACACGATTAAAGATAATCAGACACACAAAAAGAAAAGATGCCATGAGATGGAACCAGCAAAACTAATAGGCAATATAGGGGAGGAGGCAGACAACTATGGCCAAATAGAACCCTCTAGAGATCCCCCTGCAGGAAAAACAAGTTAAACAACTATCCACATACAAAAAACCACCTTTATGAGAATCAAAAATCAGGTGAGCAATTACAGTGCCTAGTTTTAAATTTATATCAAGGAAACAGGCACTGAAGAGGGTAAGAAAGAGAGTTTTCAATCACCTACACCACACGACCCCCATCACTGGCCACATGGCACAGAGAGAGAATCTGTGTGCTTGGGGGAGGGAGAGCAAAGTGATTGTGGGACTTTGCATTGGAACCCAGTGCTGCCCTGTCACAGCAGAAAGCAACATGGGACAGAATTCAGCCAGTGCACATAGAGTGAACGTTTAGACCAGCCCTAGCCAGAGGCAAGGTTTTTATTTTTTATTTTTTATTTTTTATTATACTTTAAGTTCTAGGGTACATGTGCACAACGTGCAGGTTTGTTACATATGTATACATGTGCCATGTTGGTGTGCTGCACCCATTAACTCGTCATTTACATTAGGTATATCTCCTAATGCTATCCCTCCCCCCACCCCACAACAGGCCCCCCGGTGTGTGATGTTCCCCTTCCTGTGTCCAAGTGTTCTCATTGTTCAATTCCTACCTATGAGTGGGAACATGTGGTGTTTGGATTTTTGTCCTCAGAGGCAAGTTGTTAATTGTAGCAGTCAAAGCCTGAGTTCTGGCAAGCCCCACCAACATGGGCTAAAGTGCTCTGGGGTCCTGAAATAAACTTAAAAGGTAATCTGGGCCACAAAAACTGCAATTCCTGGGAAAGTCCTGGTGTTGTGCTGGGTTTGGAGCCAGTGGGCTTAGGGTGCATGTGACTTAGTGAGACACCAGCTAGGGTAGCCAAGGGAGTGCTTGTATCACCCTTCCCCCAACTCTAGGCAGCACAGTTCACAGATCCAGGAGAGACACTTTTCTTCTGTTTGAGGAAAGGAGAGGAGACAGTAAAAAAGACTGTCTTCTAACTTGGATACCAGCTTGGTCATAGTAGAATAGGGCACCAGACAGAGTCCTGAGGCTCCTATTTCAGGCCCTAGCTCTGGGATGGCATTTCTGGACACATCCTAGGCTAGAATGGAACTCACTACCTTGAAGGGAATGTCCTAGTTCTGGCAAGATTAATCACCTGCTGACTAAAGAGCCCTTGGGCCCTGAATAATCAGTAGTGGTAGCCAGGCAGGACTCATCATTGGCCTCAGGTAAGACTCAGAGCCATGCTGGCTTCAGGTGTGACCCAGCATATTCCCAGCTGTGGTGGCTACAGGAAAAGACTTCTTTTGCTTGGGGAAAAAAGAGGGAAGAGTAAAGGGGACTTTATCTTGGAGCTTGGATACCAGCTTAGCCACACTGGGATAGAGTGACAAGTAGACTCCTGCTTTCCCTGATTCCAGGTCTTGGCTCCTGGCTGGCATTTCTGGACCTTCCCTGGGCCAGAGTGAAGCCCACTGCCCTAAAGGGAGAGACTCATGCCTGGCAGCATTCACCATAAGCTGACCATAAGAGCTCTTAGGCCTTGATAGAACATTGGCAGTAGCAAGCCAGTACTCACCACAGGCCTGGGGTGGTGGTAGCCACAGGGAGAGACTCCTCTCTTTAAGTAATGGAGAGGGAAGACTAAAAAGGACTTTGTCTCATGGCTTGGGTGCCAGCTCAGCCATAGTAGAATAGAAAACCGGGTAGATTTGTAAGGTTCCTGACACCAGACCCTGGCTCCCAGGTGGCAGATCTGGACCCTCCCAGGACCAAGGAGAACTCATTGCCCTAAGCAGAAGGACATAAGCCTGGCAGTATTTACCACCTGATGCTTGCAGAGCTTTTGGGCCTTGAGTGAACCAGGCAGTGGTCACCATAGGCGTGGGGTGAGACCCAGTTCTCTGCTAGCTTTGGGTCTGATCCAGTGCACTACCAGAGGTGCTGGCCACAGGGGGTGCTTGTGTCAGCAAACCCCCAGCTTCAGGCAACTCAGCACAGAGAGACAGACTCTTTTTGTTTGGGGGTGAGTAAGGGAAAAGAACAAGAGTCACTGACTGATAATCCAGAGAATTCTCATGGATCTTACCCAAGACCACTAAGGTGGTACCTATACAAGTCTGCAACAGCCACAGTGTTACTGGGATTGGGGTCCTCCCTAAGGCAGATATGGCTGCAATGACCAAAGACTTACATCGCAACACTCAAGTCTCTCTGAATACTTAGAAAGCCTTCCCAAGAAGGATGGGCACAAACAAGCCCAGACTGCCAGGACTACAATAAATACCTAATTCTTCAATTCCCAGACATCCACGAACATCCCCAAGCATCAAGACTATCCACAGAAAATATTACCCACCACAGGAACTAAAAACAGTAACACAGGCCAATCCCAGAGGGGCAGAAATATGTGACTTTTCAGACAGATAATTCAAAATAGCTGTTTTGAGGAAGCTCAGTGAAATCCAAGATAACACAGAGAAGGAATTAAGAATTCTGTCAGATAAATTTAATGGAAAGATTGAAATGACTACAAAGAATCAAGCAAAAATTCTGGAGCTGAAAACTGCAATGGGCATACTGAAGAATGCACAAGAGTCTCTTAACAACAGAACTAATCAAGTAGAAGAAAGAATTCATAAGCTTGAAACAGGCTATATGAAAATACATATTCAGAGGAGACAAAAGAAAAAGAATTTTTAAAAAATTATCTACAAGATCTAGAAAACAGCTTCAAAGGAGAAAATCTAAAGTTATTGGCCTTAAAGAGGAGTTAGACAGAGAGATTGGGGTAGAAAGTTTATTCAAAAGAATAATATCAGAGAACTTCCCAAACCTACAGAAAGATATCAACACTCAAGTACAAGAAGGTTATACAACACCAATCAGATTTAGCCCCAAAAAAGACTGACTCAAGACATTTAATAGTCAAACTCCCAAAGGTCAAGGATAAAGGAAGGATCCTAAAAGCAGCAAGAGAACAGAAAAAAAATAACAGAAAAAGGAGCTCCAATATGTCTGGCAGCAGGCTTTTAAGTGGAAACCTTACAGGCCAGATGAGAGTCGCATGATATATGTAAAAAAACACTTTTACCCTAGAATAGTACATCTAGCAAAAATATCCTTCAGACATGAAGGGGAAATAAAGACTTTCCCAGACAAACAAAAATTGAAAGATTTTTGTCAGCACTAGTCCTTCCTACAAGAAAAGATAAAGGGAATTCTTCAATCTGAAAAAAAAGGATGTTAATGAGCAATAAGAAATCATCTGATGGTACAAAGCTACTGGTAACAGTAAGTAAATAGATATAGACTATTATAACATAGTAATTGTGATGTGTAAACTACTTATATCTTGAGTAGGAAGATTAAAAATGAACCTATCAAAAATAATAACTACAAATTGTCAAGATATAGATAGTAAAATAAGATGTAAATAAACAAAAAGTTGAAAAGCAGGGGAGATGATGTTAAAGTATAAAGGTTTTGTTACTTTTCGCTTTGCTTGTTTGTTTTTGTAATCAGAGTTAAGTTGTCATCAGTTTAAAATAATAGGTTATAAGATGTTATTTGCAAACCTCATGATAACTTTAAATCAAAAAACCTACAACAGATACACAAAACACATATAAAGCAAGAAATTAAAGATACCACCAAAGAAAATCACTTTCACAAAAAGGAAGAGGAAGGAAGGAAGGAAGGAAGGAAGGAAGGAAGGAAGGAAGGAAACAGAAAACAAATAACAAAAATGAATGTAGTAAGTTTATACTTATCAATAATAACATTGAATGTAAATGGACTAATCTCTCTACTCAAAAGCATAGAGTGGCTAAACAGATTTTAAAAACAAGACCAAATGACCTGTTGCCTACAAGAAACATGCTTCACCTACAAAGACACACATGGGCTGAAAATAAGGGATGGAAAAAGATATTCCATGCACATGAAAACCAAAAAAAAAAAAAAAGCAGTAGTAGCTGTATCAGATAAAATAAATTTCAAGACAAAACTAGAATAAGAGACAAAGAGGGCATTATGTAATGATAAAGGGGTCAATTCAATAAGAGGATACAAAAGTTGTAAACATATATGCATCCAGCACTGGAGTGCTCAGATATATAAAAGCAAATATTATTAGAGCTAAAAAGAGAGATCAACCCCAATACAATACATGGAGACTTCAATACCCAACTTTCAGTATTAGACTGATCATCCAGACAGAAAATCAACCAAGGAATATTGGACCTAATCTGCACTATAAATAAGAGACAAAGAGGGCATGATGTAATGATAAAGGGGTCAATTCAATAAGAGGATACAAAAGTTGTAAACATATAGGCATCCAGCACTGGAGTGCTCAGATATATAAAAGCAAATATTATTAGAGCTAAAAACAGAGATCAACCCCAATACAACACATGGAGACTTCAATACCCCACTTTCAATATTAGACTGATCATCCAGACAGAAAATCAGCCTAGGAATATTGGACCTAATCTGCACTATAAACCAAATAAACCTAATAGATATTTACAGAATATTTTAACCAATGGCTGCAGAATGCACATTCTTCTCCTTAGCACATGGATCAATCTCAAGGATAGACTATATGTTAGGCCACAAAACAAATCTTAAAACGTTCAGAAAATTGAAATTATATCAAGTATTTTCTCTGACTACAATGGAATGAAACCAGATATCAATAACAAGAGATACTTTGAGAACTATACAAATACCTGGAGATTAAACAATATGCTCCTGAATGACCAGTGAGTCAGTGAAGAAATTATGAAGAAAATTTAAAAATTTCTTAAAACAAACAAAAATAGAAACACAACATACTAAAATCTATGGGATACAGCAAAAGCAGTACCAAGAACAAAGTTCATAGCAATAACCACTTACATCAATAAAAGCAGAAAAACTTTTAATAAACAACCGAATGATGCATCTTTAAAAACTAGAAAAACAAAAGCAAACTAAATCTAAAATTAGTAGGAGAAAAGAAATAATAAAGATCAGAGCGGAAATAAACATAATTGAAACAAAAAAATACAAAAGATTAACGAAATGAAATGTTGGTTTTTTTGAAAACATAAACAAAATTGACAAACCTTTAGTGAGACTAAGCAAAAAAGAGAGAAGACCCAAATAAATAAAATTGGAGATGAAAAAGGAGACATTGCAACTGATACCACAAAAATTCAAAGTATCATTAGTGGCTACTATGAGCAACTATATGCCAATAAATTGGAAAATATAGAAGAAATTTATAAATTCCTAGACCCATACAACCTACCAAGTTTGAACCATGAAAAAATTCAAAACCTGAATAGACCAATAACAAGTAACAAGATCAAAACCATAATAAAAAGTCTCCCAGTAAAGAAAAGCCTGGGACCTGATGGCATCACTACTGAAATCTACCAAATATTTAAAGAACTACTACCAAACTTAATCAAACTATTCCAAAAAACAGAGAAAGGAATATTTCCAAACTAATTCTATGATGCCAGTATTACCCTGATACTAAACCAGACAAAGACACATTAGAAAAAAAAAAACAAAAAACTACAGGCCAATATCTCTGCTAAATATTTATGCAAAAATTCTCAACAGAAGACTAGCAAACCAAATTCAGTAACACATTAAACCCAGCACTTTGGGAGGCCAAGATGGGTGAATCACGAGGTCAGGAGATCGAGACCATCTTGGCTAACACAGTGAAACCCCGTCTCTACTAAAAATACAAAAAAATTAGCCAGGCGTGGTGTGGCAGGTGCCTGTAGTCCCAGCTATTCAGGAGGCTGAGGCAGGAGAAGGGCGTGAACTCGGGAGGCGGAGCTTGCAGTGAGCCGAGATTGCACCACTGCACTCCAGCCTGGGCGACAGAGCGAGACTCTGTCTCAAAAAAAATAATAATAATAGAAATAAAAATAACACATTAAAAGGACCATTAGTCACGACCTAGAAGGATTCATCCCAGGGATACAATGACGGTTCAACACATATGCAAATCAATCAATGTGATATATCAACAGAATAAAGGACAGAAACTTTATGATCATTTCAATTGATGCTGAAAAAAGTATTGGATAAAATTCAACATTCCTTTAAGATAAAAACCCTGAAAAAACTGAGTACAGCAGAAACATACCTCAACACAATAAAAGCCATAGACAATTGACCCACAGCTAGTATCATGCTGAATAGGGAAAAACTGAAAATCTTTCCACTAAGATATGAAACAAGACAAGGATGCCCACTTTCACCAGCATTATTCAACATAGTATGGGAAGTCATAGCTAGAGAAATCAGACAAGAGAAAGAATCAAAAGGCATCCAAGTTGAAAGGGAAGTCAAATTATTCTTGTTTGCAGGTGACATAATCTTATATTTGGAAAAACCTGAAGACTCCACCAAGAAAACCATAGAACTGATAAGTTCAGTAAAGTTTCAAGACACAAAATCAGCATCCAAAAATCAGTAGCATTTCTGGCCGGGCACAGTGCCTCATGCCAGTAACCTTGGCACTTTGAGAGGCCAAGGTGGGCAGATAGCTTGAGTCCAGACATTAGAGACCAGCCTGAGCAACATGATGAAACCCTGTCTCTACAAAAAATACAAAAATTAGCCATTAGCCAGGCATGGTGGCACACGCCTGTAGTCCCAGCTACCCGGGAGGCTGAGGTGGGAGGATCGCTTGACCCCAAGGGGGTGAAGGTTGCAGTGAGCTGAGATCACACCACTGTACTTCAGCCTGGGTGACACAGCAGGACCGTGTCTCAATAAAACAAAACAAAACACAACAAAAAGTATTTCTATAGGCCAACAGTGAACAATCTGAAAAAAAACACGGGAAGTGGTCAAGATGGCCAACTAGAAGAAGCTAGGGTGAGTGGCTCTCACAGAGAAGAATGAAAGGGGTGCATAAATTCAGCACCTTCAACTGAAACATCCAGGTACTCACACTGAGACTAATCAAGGAAACAACTCGACCCACAGAGAACAGAAAAAAGCAAGGCAGTATGATGGCAAACCCAGGAGCCTGGGGAACCTCCCCGACCCAGGACGCAGTGAGTGAATGTGCGACCCCAGGAAACCATGCTTTTCCCACAAAGCTTTACAACTCTTGGGTCAGGAGAACCCCTCACAAACCGACTCCACCAGGGCCTACAGTCTGACACAGAGAGATATTTGGAGTCTTGGCAGAGCAGTCACTCAGGCAAGCACGGAGACCCAGGAGCTTTAGATACTTCAGCTCTGGGCTTCCCAGCAAAAGTAACTGAAACTCTGGCAAAGCAGGAGATTACACCCCCCTACATATCCCAGGGAAAGAGACTGAATCCAGGGCACCAAGGGGCAACAGTCTGCAGGCCCCACTCCCATGGCACCTTACAGGATAAGATCCACTGGCTTGAAATTCCAGCCAGCCACTGGCAGCAGTGTTGCACCTACCTGGGATAGAGTTCCCAGTGGGAGGGGCAGGTGGCCATCTTTGCTGTTTAGGCAACTTGGCCCTTCCACCCTTTGGACCCTTCTATCCTGTGGGCTTTGGAGAATCCAAACTAACTGGGAGTAAAAGGGGTCCCCCAGCACAGCACAGCTGCTCTACCAAAATGTGAGCAGACTGCTCCTTTAGGCAAGTCCCCAGTCCATTCCTCCTCACTGGGCAGGACCTCCCAACCCTCACTGGAGGCCCTCCCAGGGTTTACCTGGTCCCAACCAGGGTCTACAGCCACTTCATACAGGTGCCTTTAGACCAGCAATAGGTCTATACCTTCCTGGGACAGAGCTCCCAGAGAAAGAGGCAGGCTACCATCTTTGCTGTTTCACAGCCTTCACTGGTGATACCTCCAGGTACTGGAAAATCCAAGGTGACTAGAAACTGGAGCATACCCCCAGAAACTGGAGCAGACCCCAGACAGCAGCCCTACAGAAAAGTGGCAGATTGTTAAAAGAAAAAAAAAAATCCAAAGGTCAGCAACCTCAAGGAGTTACAGTAGATAAGCCCACAAAGATGAGGAAAAAAAAGTCAGTTCAAGAACACTAAAAACTAAAAAAACAGAGTACCCTCTTTCCTCCAAATAACCTGCACCACCTCTCCAGCAATGGTTCAGAACTAGGCTGAGGCTGAGATGACTGAAATGACAGGAGTAGAATTTAGAATATGGATAGGAATGAGCTTCACTAAGCTAAAGGAGGACATTGCAACCCAATGCAAGAAAGCTAAAAATTATGATAAAACATTGCAGGAGCTGACAGACCAAATAGCCGGTATAGAGAAGAACATAACTGACCCAATAGAGATGAAAAACACACTACATGAATTCCATAATGCAATAATAAGTATTAATAGCAGAATAGACCAGGCAGAGGGAAGAATTTCGGAACTTGAAGACTGGATTTCTGAAATAAGAAGGCAGACAAAATTAGAGAAAAAAGAATGAAAAGGAACAAACAAAACCATCAAGAAATATGAAATTATATAAAGAGACTGAATCTAAAACGGATTGGTGTACCTGAAAGAGATGGAGAGAATGGAACCGATTTGGAAAACATATTTTATGATATCATCCATTAAAACTTCCCCAACCTACAAGAGAGGCCAATATTCAAATTCAGGAAATCCAGAGAACACCAGTAATATACTTCATGATAAGATCATCCCCAAGACACATAATCAACAGATTCTCCAAGGTTGAAATGAAAGAAAAAAATGTTAAAAACAGTTAGAAAGAAAAGAAAACCCATCAGAAAACAGTGAACCTCTCAGCTGAAACCCTACAGCCAGAAGAAACTGAGTGCCAATATTCAACATTCCTAAAGAAAATAAATACAAACCAAGAATTTCATATCCAGTCAAACTAAGCTTCATAAGTGAAGAAGAAATAAGATTCTTTTCAGAGAAGCAAGCGCTGAGAGAATTTGTTACCACCAGACCTGCCTTACAAGAGCTCCTGAAGGAAGCACTATGGGAAGGAAAGACTGTTACCAGCCACTACAAAAACACATTGAAGTACACAGACCAGTGACACTATAAAGCAACCACATAAACAAGCCAGCATAATAACCAGCTAGCATCATGATGACAGGATCAAATCCACACATATCAATACTAACCTTAAATGTAAATGAGCTAAATGCCCAATTAAATAATACAGAGTGGCAAGCTGGATAAAGAACCAAAATCCATTGGTATGCTATCTTCAAGAGACCTGTCTCACATGCAATGACACATATAGGCTCAAAATAAAGGGATAAAGAAAAATCTACCAAGCAAACAGAAAACAGAAAAAGGCAGGGGTTGCAATCCTAGTTTCTGACAAGAGAGACTTTAAACCAACAAAGATCAAAAAAGACAAAGAAGGGCATTAAATAAAGGTAAAGTGTTCAATTTAACAAGAAGATCTAATTATCCTAAATATATATACACTCAATGCAGGATCACCCAGATTCATAAAGCAAGTTCTTAGAGACTTTCAAAGAGATCTAGACTTCCACATAATAATGGTGGGGGACTTTAACACCACACTGACAATATTAGATCACTGAGACAGAAAATTAACAAAGATATTCAGGACCTGAACTCAGCACTGAATCAAATAGATAGATATCTACAGAACTCTCCACCTCAAAACGACAGGACATACATTCTTCTCATCATCACATGGCACTTACTCTAAATTGATCACATAATCTGAAGTAAAACTCTCCTCAGCAAATGCAAAAGAACTGAAATTATAACAGTCTCTTGGACAGTGAAATAAAAATAGAAATCAAGACTAAGAAATTCACTCAAAACCATACCATTATATGGAAATTGAATAACCTGCTTTTGAATGACTCTTCAGTAAATAATGAAACTAAGGCAGAAATCCAGAAGTTCTTTGAAACTAATGAACAAAAATACAACATACCAGAATCTCTGGGACACAGCTTAGGCAGTGTTAAGAAGGAAATTTATAACACTAAATGCCCACATCAGAAAGTGAGAAAGATCTCAAGTTAACAACCTAACTTCACAACTAAAAGAACTAGAGAACCAAGAGCAAACAAACTCCAAAGCTAGAAGAAGACAAGAAATAACCAAGACCAGAACTGAACTGAAGGAGATAGAGACACAAAAATATATTCAAAAAATCAATGAATTCAGAAGGTAGTTTTTTGAAAAAAATAATAAAATAGAGCACTAGCTAGACTAATAAAAAAGAAAATAAAGAAGATTCAAATGAACATAATCAGAAACAATAAGGGGGATATTACCAGTGAACCGACAGAAATGCAAACAACCATCAGAAAATATTATAAATACTTCCATGCATACAAACTAGAAAATTTAGAAGAAATGGATAAATTCCTGGATATATATACCCTCCCAGGACTGAATCAGAAAGAAATTGAATCCCTGAACAGACTAATAATGAGCTCTGAAATTAAGGTGGTAATAAACAGTTTACCAACGAAAAAAAAAGCCCCAGGACCAGACCAATTCACAGCTGAATTCTACCAGATGTCCAGAGAAGAACTGGTACCATTCCTACTGAAACTATTTCAAAAGATTGAAGACAAGGGACTCCTCCTTAACTCATTCTATGAGGCCAGCATCATCCTGATACCAAAACCTGGCAGAGATACAACAACAACAACAAAAAACTTCAGGCCAGTATCCTTGATGGACATTGATGCAAAAACCATCAACAAAATATTGGCACACTGAATCAAGCAACACATCCAAAAACAAATCCACAGCAATCAAGTAGGCTTCATCCTTAGGTTGCAAGGTTGGTTCGACATGCAAATCAATAAATATGATTCATCACATAAACTGAGCTAAAGACGAAAACCATATAATTATCACAATAGAGGCAGAGGAGACTTTTGATAAAATTCAACATTGATTCATGTTAAAAACTCTCAATAAAGTAGGTATTGAAGGAACATACCTCAAAATAATAAGAATAATCTATGACAAACCCACAGCCAACACTATACTGAATGGGCAATAGCTGGAAGCATTCCCCTTGAAAGGCAGCACAAGACAAGGATGCCCTCTCTCACCACTCCCATTCAACATAGTATTGGAAATCCTGGCCAGAGAAATAAGGCAAGAGAAAGAAATAACTGGCATTCAAATAGGAAGAGAGGAAGTCAAATTATCTTTGTTTGCAGATGACATAATCTTATATCTAGGAAACCCCATCGTCTCAGCCCAAAAGCTTCTTAAGCTGATAAACAACTTATGCAAAGTTTCAGGATACAAAATCAATGTGCAGAAATCACAAGCATTCCTATACACCAACACTCAAGCCAAGAGCCAAATCACAAATAAACTCTCATTCACAATTGTCACAAAAAGAATAAAATACCTAGGAATATAGCTAACTAGGGAGATGAAAGATCTCTACAAAGAGAACTACAAACCACTGTTCAAAGAAATCAGCAATGACACAAACAAATGGAAAAACATTCCATGCTCATGGATAGGAAGAATCAATATCATGAAAATGGCCATACTGCCCAAAGCAATTTATAGATTCAATGCTATTCCCATCAAGTTACCATTGGCTTTCTTCACAGAATTAGAAAAACTACTTTAAATTTCATATGGAACCAAAAAAGAGCTCGTATAGCCAAGAAAATCCTAAGCAAAAAGAACAAAGCTGGAGGCATCACATTACCTGACTTAAAATTATACTACAAGGCTACAGTGACCAAAACAACATGGTACTGGTACCAAAACAGATACATAGACCAATAGAACAGAACAGAGTCCTCAGAAATAAGACCACACATCTACAACCATCTGCTCTTCGACAAGCCTGACAAAAACAAGCAATGGAAAAAAGATTCTCTATTTAATAAATGGTGCTGGGAAAATTCGCCAGCCATATGCAGAAAACAAAAACTGGACCCCTTCCTTACACCTTATACAAAAATTAACTCAAGATGGATTAAAGACTTAAATGTAAAACCTAAAATAATAAACACCCTAGAAGAAAACCTAGGCAATACCATTCAGGACATAGGCATAGGCAAAGACTTTATGGCTAAAATACAAAAAGCAACTGCAAAAAAAGCCAAAATTGACAAATGGGATCTAATTAAACCAAAAAGCTTCTCCACAACAAAAGAAACTATCATCAGAGTAAACAGGCAACCTACAGAATGGGAGAAAAGTTTTGCAATCTATCCATCTGACAAAGGGCTAATATCCAGAATCTACAAGGAACTTAAACAAATTTACAAGAAAAAACAACCCCATCAAAAAGTGGGCAAAGGATATGAAAAGACACTTCTCAAAAGAAGACATTTATGTGGCCAACAAACATATGAAAAAAAGTTTATCATAACTGGTCATTAGAGAAATGCAAATCAAAACCACAGTGACATACCATCTCACACCAGTTACAATGGCAATTATTAAAAAGTCAGGAAACAACAGATGCTGGAGAGGATGTGGAGAAATAGGAGCGCTTTTACACTGTTGGTGGGAATGTAAATTCGTTCGACCATTGTGGAAAACTGTGTGGCGATTCCTCAAGGATCTAGAACTAGAAATACCATTTGACCCAGCAATCCCATTATTGGGTATATACCCAAAGGATTATAAATCATTCTACTATAAAGACACATGCACAAGTATGTTTATTGCGGCACTATTTACAATAGCAAAGACTTGGAACCAACCCAAATGCCCATCGGTGATAGACTGGAGAAAGAAAATGTGGCATATGTACACCATGGAATACTATGCAGCCATAAAAAAAGAGTTCATGTCCTTTGCAGGGACATGACTGAAGCTGGAAGCCATCATTCTCAGCAAACTAACACAGGAACAGAAAACCAAATACCACATGTTCTCACTCATAAGTGGGATTTGAACAATGAGAACACAGGGAGGGGAACATCACACACTGGGGCCTGTCGGGGGTTGGGGAACAAGGGGAGGGAGAGCATTAGGGCAAATACCTAATCCATGTGGGGCTTAAAACCTAGATGGTGGGTTAAAAGGTGCAGCAAACCACCATGGCATATGTATATCTATGTAACAAACCTGCACGTTCTGCATATGTATCCCAGAACTTAAATTAAAAAAAAAAAAAACCTCTGAATGCTTGGGGAGACTGATCTGACTTATAATAAAATTCGTTTCCCATTAAAAAAACAAAAAATTTAAAAAAATCATTACAAAGTATTTAAAATTTTAAAAGGAAAGTGGATAAAGATTCAGCTCATTTTGTGTCATTTCATTTGCAATTAGATCCTATATTTTCTTTTTCTGTAGATGCTTGAGTTTGGCAAGTTATGAGTGGATTAACATATTTTATGATACCATGGGACTGCCACAGTTATGTCCTCTGTTAGTTTCAGAGTCAGAGCCTATTGTGTACAGCCAAAGGCTTAGGCCGATTCCAAATAGAATAAAAAGCAGCCACTTTCAGAGCACATTTAAGACATCTAACATTTGAGAAAGTTCATTGGCATTGTCAACTACCCTCTCATTAAATTCTATCCTAGGCAAAGCAGGACAACCAGGAAATAATACCAAAAAATCACATTTCCTTCATGCCTCTGAGAATTTCATTTACTTAGTTATGATTAACCCTTGGCCTGTCCTTTCACTGAAGATGAACACAGACATCACCTATTGAAGCAAGTGAAAATCGATGTCCTAAATACTACTCATTCTACTACTCCTGGTAGTATATCCTAATACAAACACAACTCAAATGAGACCTTTACATGACGTATATCCTGATCCTGAGTAAAAGAAATGTTCTAATTTATCATGATCACTTGTTGATATTAGAGCATGTCTTCAAATAATACAGTTACAATGTTTAAGTTTCTTAGAGGTCAGATGTCTTACCTATTTTATATCCCCAAGGGTGGGCAATTTACAAATATCAACTGATTTCTTGACTTCTTGACTCTTGTGCCTATCTCAAAGAGGCTAAAAGTAAAGGGTAAAGAAGGTATTGGAAAAGATGTTGGAGGAAGGAAAAAGTGAGAGAAGTTAGGTAAAATTAAAGAAGCAATGTTAACGGCTCACTCCACAGAACTCAGGGCTGCTAAGTGCCTAACAACATAAAAGAAAAAATCGACTTTAGGGCACTACAAAAAAAAAAAAGGAAAGAAAGAAAAGAAAAAGAATGTTAATGATAAAGAGTATTAATGATAAACAAACTTTAAGTTTCCAGAGTTAGAAGAAAAAGAAAGTAGGAGATTGTTGGCTGGGGAGGTGGCTCACACCTGTAATCCCAGCACCTTAGGAGGGCCGAGGTGGGCGGATCACGAGGTCAGGAGATCCAGACCATCCTAGCTAACATGGTTTCACCTCGTCTCTACTAAAATACAAAAAAAAAAAAAGTTAGGCGGGTGTGGTGGTGGGCACCTATAGTCCCAGCTACTCAGGAGGCTGAGGCAGGAGAATGGTGTGAACCCGGGAGGCAGAGCTTGCAGTGAGCCGAGGTCGCGCCACTGCACTCCAGCCTGGGTGACAGAGCGAGACTCCATCTCAAAAAAAAAAAAGAAAGAAAGTAGGAGATTGTTTAAATGAATAATGATAAATTCATATGATGAAATACTATACAGACATTAAAAATGAATAGGAAAATATTTAGTGAAATGGAAAAATATTCACAATATATTAACTGAGAAAAAAACCTAAGCTACTTATGAACGAATGATATACTGTACTGCCTTTGATTTGCTTCAAAAATAATTCATGATGGGGGAAGTGAATTAGGGTTTAGATAAAAGAATATGGACCATGAGTCAACAATTATAGAAGTGAAGTGATTGAGTAATGGAAGATCGTTATACTATCAGTCTGCTTTTATATATGTGCAAAATTCTCCACAATAATGAAATCATGTCATTTGCAGCAATATGGATGCAGCTGGAGACCATTATCCTAAGTGAATTAATGTAGGAACAGGAAACCAAATGCCATGTGTTTTCGACTTTTAAGTGGAAGCTAAATACTGGGTACTCATGGACATAAAGATGGCAACAATTTACGGTGAGAAATACTATGGGGGTAGGGGGAGCAATGGTTGAAAAACTAACAACTGTGTACTGTGCTCACTACCTGGGTGACAGGATCAGTTGCACCCCAAACCTCAGTATCATGCAATATACTCATGTAAAAAAACAGCACATGTACCCCCCGGAATCTAAAATAAAAGTTGAAATTATTTTTTTAATTCTCCACAATAATGTTTTTTAACACTATGTACTATAGGAATAAATTTAAATATGGAAATACAAAATACAAAAAAGATAAATGATATATCTCAAAAAGTTAAGGGTGGTTATATCTGATCACTTTTATTATCATTCATTTATTCCTATTTTAAAAGGATTTGTACTAAATGCAAATTAGTTTTGTAATAAAAACTAAAAATCTAACATAAAAGTCACCTATTTCTGTCTTCAGCCTCTGCTACTTGTCCACATTTCCTTTAAAATTCAGTATCATTCCATTTTCACCACTTTGTTTTCTAATAGCATTCCATTTTTCATAAGCAGAAAGTATGTATGAAGCATAAAGATTATTTTTGTTTGAAGGTTGAAAAAAATTATTCAGAAACTCAATTTGGGGGCCTGCTTTTTTATGTTTTAGTTCAGTGCTTCTCAATCCTGCCTATATATTAGAATCACTTGGGGGCTTTTTAAACAGACATCATTGCCCAGCCTCTATTCCCAAATATTCTGATTTAATTGGCCTGAGACAGGGCTCGGGCACTGGGCAATATTTTTTTTCAGCTCCCAGTTGATTCTAATGTCCAAGCATGGCTCAGAGCTGCTGTCTTTGCATCTACTTTACACAATGATTCTCAAGTGTGGTCACACATTAGAGTCACTATGGAAGCTGTAAAAAATAAATAAATAAATACTTAGGCCTAGAGCCCACTCTCAAGATTCTGATTTAATTGGTCTCAGCTGTGGCCTGGGCTTTGGAATTTTTACCCCACCCATACTTTTCTACTGACTACAAATATCTTGCATTTATTCACTGATGTTTGAGATTTATTTCTCTGCTAATCATTTGCTTCTGTTAAAAACACCCGACTAAGAAAACACCCATGAAAGATCTGCAATCCTTGACAGTTCAATGAGAACAAATATGTGTTTAGTCTGTCTTTCTGATCAACATTTTGAAAAGTTTTTCATGTGGGAAAAGAGAAAAGAGTGGTAAGACAAAGGGTATATGAGGGCATGACACCAAATATATATAATTAGAAAGATGGAGAAGGCACAAGAAAGAGACACTAGGGCAAAAGACTAATTTTCCCTGTTTTAAAGGTGGAAGATGATACAAAAAGACTTATGGTATGATTCCACTTATATGAGGTACTTATAGTAGTCAAAACCATAGAGACAAAAAGTAGAATGGTGATTGCCAGGGGTTAAGGGGAGAATGGAATGGGGAGTTAGTGTTTAATGGAAATGCTTTCAGTTTTGCAAGATGAAAGAGTTCTGGTGATAGATGGTGGTGATGACTGCATAACAATATGGATGTATTTACCACCATACGTATACAAGCTTTAAAATGGTGTAGTCAATTATATGTTCTCAGAACCACAATTAAAACATCTCTGTGGCCCCTAATATGATGAAATTGGTCACCACATTAATCAATATTTTCAACTTTGCAAAGCACACCAAGAGACATTTTTCTGGTAATCTATTAAAGCTTAACACTGATTTTCAATGAACACCATTAAAATCCAGAGCTCATCAGGGTTTCAATGATTTTCTAGTACAACATGTAGTAAGCATTTAATGTTTCATTTGCTAATGCCACTTTTCTTTCCATAGACTCAAATTTTTCATTAGCTCACATTTTTTAAAGGATCTTCATTCAATTTTTTGTTACCACTTTCTCTCACCTCCACTGTTTTCCTAGTTTTCTGAACTTAAATCTATAAAACATAATGTAAGTTTTGTATTTAAAACTCTAAAATGCATTCAATAAAATGGAAAATTTCTTCAAGCAATAAGGAAAACAATTACAGGTGACTGAGAAAATTTCCTTATATCACACATAGTTTTCGGTGATCTATTCTAAAATTTAATCTTAAACTAGCTTAGTTTTTAATTGACTTTCTCCTCAACACTCTTGTCAATGTTTCCCAAACTTATCTAATGACACAGATCACTTGGGGTGCTTTTTTAAAATGTGAACTCCCAAAACCCTCCCTGGGGATTCTGATTTAGTAAGTCAAGGGTGGAACCCAGGAATCTGTAACTGCCTATGTATGGCAGGTGATTCTACATTAAGCTAAGTTTCCTGCACATAAAACGGAGGAAAACAGCAGATACAGCTTTTTCCAATTCTCCCACTCCTGGGATTTGCCATCATTTCCTATGTAACCATAACCATACTAGGATTTCTCTCTCACCCCCTCTCTTTTTCCCCCAGACTTTGGTACTTGTTCTCAGTCTTGCTATTCAAAACGTAGTCCTTGAGGAGGCAGAGCAAGATAGTCAAATAGAATCCTCCAGCAATTGCCCATCCCCTCCCGAGGAACAACAGACTGAGCAACTATCCTTGCAAGAAAGCACCTTCATACGAACCCAAAGTTCAGTTGAGTGATACTATGATCTGGTTTTAACATAATAACAAAGATAGTGTATCTGGTTTTAACATAGTAACAAAGAAAGAGGCATTGAAGAGGGTAGGAAGGACAGTCTTGCAGTGCCTACCCCACCCCTCCCACAACCCCAGGCAACACAGCACAAAGGGATAACCTGAGCACCTGGGGAAGGGAGAGCAAATTATGTGTGGGATTCTTCACTGGAATTCAGTACCACCCTATCACAGTGGAATACAATACCAGGCAGAGTTCTGCCAGTGCCCACAGAGGGAGCATTTAGACAAGCCCTGGGCCAGAGGGGAATTTCCCACCCCAGCAGAAGGAACTCTAATCCTGGCCAGCTTCAGCACCAGCTGACTAAAGTGGCCTGGGGACCCAAATAAATTTGAATGGCAGTCAGGCCACAGCGATTAAGATCATAGTCCTTGGGCAAGCCCTGGTGCTGCACTGGTCACAGAGGCAGTGGACTTGGGGTGCAACCCCATGCAACACCATCTGCAGTGACCACAGGAGTGCCTGCATCACTTCTCCCTAACTCCAGGCAGTGCAGTGCAGTGCAGTGCAGTGCAGTGCAGTGCAGTGCAGGGAGAAATTCCTTCCGCTTGGGAGAAGGAGAGGAAATAGTACAGAGGACTTTGTTTTGCAACCTGAGGATCAGCTCAGCCTAGTAAAATAAAGCAACAGGCAGATTCCTAAAGCTCCCAGTTCCAAGCCTTTGTTCCTGGGTGGTGTTTCTAGACCAATCTGCTGACCTGGTGGGATGGACCCTGTCCCAGCAGGATTCACCAACTATGCCCTTTTACCTAAAGTGCCCTTCTTTGGTCTTGAATAAACAGCAGCAGCAGGCAGGCAGGAAGTAGTGGCTGTGGGTCTTGGGCAAGTCCCAGTACTGTGTTCATCTGGAAGGTCATAAGTTTCAGGTGTGACCCAATCAGTGCCAGCTGTGGTGGCCATGGGAGTGCCCACGTCACCCCTCCCCAACTCCAGTTCAGTGCAGAGACTGACTGTATTAGTCCATTTTCACACTGCTAATAAAGACATACCCAAGGACGGGGCTATTTACAAAAGAAAGAGGTTTAATGGACTCACAGTTCCACTTGGCTGGGGAGACCTCACAACCGTGGCAGAAGGCTAAAGGCACTTCTCACGTGGCGGCAGACAAGAGAAGAGAATGAGAGCCAAGGAAAAGGGGTTTCCCCTTATAAAACCATCAGATCACATGAGATTTATTCACTACCATGAGATCAGTATGGGGGAAACTGCCACCATGATTCAATTATCTCTCACTGGGTCCCTCCCACAACATGAGAGAATTATGGGAGCTACAATTCAAGATGAGATTTCGGTGGGAACACAGGGCCAAACCATATCACCAACTCCTTCTCCTTGAAGGAAAGTGAAAGAGAAGAGCAACAGACTTCACCTGGAACCTGGAGAAGTCTCCCTTATCTTCCCCAAATCCACCAAGTACACCAAGGCTGTGTATCTAGGAGTCTGCAAAAATCACAGTGTTCCTCAGTTTAGGGTGCCCTCTAGTGCTAAAACAGCTTCAATGACCACAGGCTTTGGTAACAACACTCAATCCCCATTGAATTCTGGGAAAGCCCTCTCAAGGACAGGTACAAACAAGGCCAGACTGCAAAGACTGGGATAAATACCTAACTTCAATGCTCAGACATCAACAATCATCAAGAAAATCTAGGGAAACGTGACCTTATCAAACAGACTAAATAAGGCACCAGTGACCAATCCTGGAGTGACAAAGATACCTTTCAGTCAGGGAATTCAAAAGAGCTATCTTGAGGAAGTTCAACGAACTTTAAGGTAACACAAAGGAGGTATTCATCAGAATTCTATCACATAAATTTGTCATAGAGATTGAAATAATTTTTAAAAATCAAACAGAAATTCTGGAGCCAAAAAATTCAACTGACCAACTGAAAAATGCATCAGAGTCTCAACAGAAGAATTGATCAAGCAGAAGAAAGGATTAGTGAGCTCAAAGACAGACTATATGAAAATACAGTCATAGGAGAAAAAAAGAATTTAAAAAATTAAGTAAGCCTACAAAATCTAGAAAATAGCCTCAAAAGGGCAAATCAAAAGTTTTTGGTCTAGAGAAAGAGATCTGAGTAGAAAGTTTATTTAAAGAAACAATAAGATATGAATATCCAGATACAAGAAGGTCAAAGAACACCAAGAAAATTCAACCCACTTAGGACTACATCAAGATATACCATAATCAAACTCTCAAAGATCAAGGACAAAGGGGGGATCCTAAAAGCAGCAAGAGAAAAGCAAATAACATATGAAGGAGCTCCAATATGTCTGGCAGCAGACTTCTCAGAGGAAACCTTACAGGCCAGAAGGGAATGGAATAACATGCTCAAAGTGATGAAGAAAAAAAATCCCTTGACCTAGAATATTATATCTAGCAAAGTTATCTTTTAAACATGAAGGGGAAATAATAACTTTCCCAGACAAATAGAAGCTGAGGGATTTAAACCAACTTTAGACCTGTTTTACAAGAAATGCTAAAGGGAGTTCTTCAATCTGAAAGAAAAGAATGCTAACAAGCAGCAATAAATCATCTGAAGGTATAAAACTCACTGTAAAAGTAAGTACAAATAGAGAATACTCCAACACTGTAATTGCAGTGTATAAACCACTCATATCTTTAGTATGAAGACTAAAAGACAAACCTATCAAAAACAATAACTACAACAATTTGTTAAGAAATAGACAATATAAAAAATATAAACTGAGACTACAAAAAGTCAAAACACAGGAGGGATACAGATTAAATGTAGAGTTTTTTATTTTCTCTTTGATTGCTCTTTTTTCTTTTAATTGTGATCAGAGTTAAAGCTATCATCAGTTTACAATAATTGATTAAAAGGTGTTATTTGCAAGCCTCATGGTAATCACAAAGCAAAAACCTATAATAGAAACATAAAAATAAAAAGCCAGAAATTAAAACATACTACCAGAGAAAAATTACTCAAACACCAAGGAAGACAAGAAGAAGGGAAGAAATGACTAACATTACAACCAAGAAACAAGTAACAAAACAGCAGTAGTATGTCTTTACCTAACAATAATATTGAACGTAAATGGACCAAATTATCCAATCAAGACATAGAGTGGCTGAATGAATTTAACAAAAAAAACAAGACCTTACACAGTGGTGCACACCTGTAGTCCCAGCACTTTGGGAGGCCAAGGTGAAAGAACCACTTGAGACCAGGAGTTTGAAACCTGGGCAACATAGTAAGACACTGCCTCCCCCAAAAAAAAAAAAAAAAAAAAAAAAAAAAAAAATATATATATATATATATATATATATATATATATATATATATATAAAATATGGAAGCTCCAAATATATATATTATATATATATTTATAGATACAAGATCCAACTATATGCTGCCTACAAGGAACCAACTTCACCTATGAAGACACAAACAGACTGAAAATGAAGGGATGGAAAAAAATATTCCATGCAAAAAGAAACCCAAAACAAGCAGGAGTAGCTATATTTATATCAGATAAAACTAGATTTCAGGACAAAAGCGATAAAAAGAAAGTCATTATATAATAACAAAAGGGGCCAATTCAGCAAGAAAATATAACAATTGTAAATATTTAATGCACACAACACTGAAGCACCCATATGTCTAAAGCAAATTTTACTAGAGCTAAAGAGATAGGTCCAAATACAATAAGAGTTGGGGACTTCAACATCCCACTTTCAGTGTTGGACAGATCATCTGGACAGAAAATGAGCAAAGAAACATCAGACCTAATCTGCACTACAGACTAAATGGACCTAATAGGCATTTATATTATAGAACATTTTTTTCCAACAGCTGCACAATACACATTCTTCTCCTTGGCACATGGAACATTCTCAATGCTAGATCACAAAACAAGTCTCAAAAAATTTCTTCAAAAATTGTAATCATTTCAAGTATCTTCTCTGACCACAATGGAATAAAATTAGAACTCAATAATGCGAGGAATTTTGGAAATAATACAAATACAGGAAAATTAAACAATATGCTTCTAAATGATCATTGGGTCAATGGAGAAATTAAGAAGAAAATTTAAAAATTTCTTGAAACAAAATGAAAATGGAAACACAATATACCAAAACCTATAGGATACAGCAAAAGCAATACTAAAAGGGAAGATATAGCAATTAAAGCCAATATCAAAAAAAGTAAAGATTTAAACAACCCAACAATCCATCTTAAAGATCTAAAAAACCAAAAGCAAACCAAACCAAAAATTAGTAGAAGAAAGGAAATAATAAAGATCAGAACCGAAATAAATGCAATTAAGACTTAAAAAAATACAAAGAATCAATGAATCATAACACTGGCTTTTTGAAACACAAACAAAATTGAAAAACAACTAGCCAGACTAAGAAAGAAGACTCAAATAAATAAAATCAGAGACAAAAAAGGAGAAATTACAACTGATACCACAGAAATTTAAAGGTTCTTTAGAGACTATTATGAGAAACCATATGCCAATAAATTAGAAACTTAAAAGAAATGAATAAATTCCTAGACACATACAACATACCAAGACTGAACCATGAAGACATGCAAACCTGAATAAACGAGTAACAAGGGGGAAGCAGTAATAAAAAGTTTCCCAGCAAAAAAAAAGCTTAAAATCTGGTGCCTTTACTGCTGAATTCCACCAAATATTTACAGAAGAAATAATACCAAAAGTATTATACCACAGCATACAGAATAAGACAAAATACTTGCAAACTATTCAACTGACAAGGGATTATTAACCAGAATATATAAGGAGCTCAAACAACTCCACAGGAAAAAAAAATCTAATAATTCAGTTTTTAAATGGGCAAAAATCTGATAGGCATTTCTCAAAAAACACATACAAATGGCAAGCAGACGTATGAAAAAATGTTCAACATCATTAATCATCAGAGAAATACAAATCAAAACCACAATGAGATATCATCTCACCCCAGTTAAAATGGCTTTTGTCAAAAAGATCAAAAAATAACCAACCCAAATGTCCAACAATGACAGACTGGATTAAGAAAATGTGGCACATATACACCATGGAATACTATGCAGCCATAAAAAAGGATGAGTTCATGTCCTTTGTAGGGACATGGATGAAGCTGAAAACCATCATTCTCAGCAAACTATTGCAAGGACAAAAAACCAAACACCACATGTTCTCACTCACAGGTGGGAACTGAACAATGAGAACACTTGGACACAGGAAGGGGAACATCACACACCGGGGCCTGTTGTGGGGTGGTGGGAGGCGGGAGGGATAGCATTAGGAGATATACCTAATGTAAATGATGAGTTAATGGGTGCAGCACACCAACATGGCACATGTATACATATGTAACAAGCCTGCACGTTGTGCACATGTACCCTAAAACTTAAAGTATAATAAAAAAGTAAATAAATAAATAAAAAGATCAAAGAATAATAAGAATAATGAATCCTGGCAAGGATGTAGGAAAAGGAGAATGCTCCTGCATTGTTGATGGGAATTTAAGTTACTAGAGCCACTGTGGAGAACAGTATTGAGGTTCCTCAAAAAACTAAAAATAGAACTACCACATGATGCAGTAATCCCACTGCTGAGTATATATCTAAAAGAAAGGAAATCAGCATATTGAAGAGATATCTGTACTCCCATGTTTATTGCAGCACTCCTCACACTAGCCAAGATATGGAATCAACCTAATGTCCATCAACAGATGAATGGATAAAGAAGATGTGGTACATATACCCAGTGGAATATTATCAGCCATAAAAAAGAATACAATCCTGTCATCTGCAGCAAGATGGATGCAACTTGGAGGACATTATGTTAAGTGAAATAAACCAGGCACATAAATATTGCATGTTCTTGCTCATATTTGGCAGCTATAAAAATTGATATCATGGAGATAGAGAGTAGAATGATGGCTACCAGAGGCTGAGAAGGGTAGTGTGGGGAGGAATAGGTAGGGATACGTTAATGGGTGCAAAAATATAGTTAGTTAGAAGGAATAAGATCTAATGCTCAGTAGCACAATAGCATGACTATAGTTAACAATAATTTACTGTATATTTAAGAATTACTAAAAAAGTGGAATTGGAATGTTCCCAACACAAAAAAATGATAAATGTTTAAGGTGATGGATATCTCAATTACCTTGATTTGTTCATTACATATTGTATGCTTAAATCAAAATATCACATGTACCCCCATAAATATGTAAAACAATTATATATCCATAAAAATGTTCAAATAAAACAAAACGGGGACAATATTTTAAGCCATGTCGTCCTCAGACCAGCAGCATCAGCATCACGTGGGAGCTTGCTAGAAATGCAGAATCTCAAGTCTCACCTCAGACCTTCAGAATCCTCACTTTAACAAAATCCCCAGGTAATGTGTGTGTACATTAAAGATTGAAAAGCATTGAGAGAGAAGTGTTTCCTAAACTTTTTGGTAAACATCAAAATAACATGGTTCCCTCTTAAACACGCAACTGCCAGGCTCCACTCAGACCAGGTAGTGATTCTGATGCACATAAAAATTTAAGAAAACACTCCCCAAATGGCTTCTGCTCGCAGTTATAACTTTGGCTGAGACCAGACTATAGTTTCTTTTCTTTGCTAAGGAAAATGGGATAATTTAAATATCCTCCTGAGTGGTAAAGTAATTGAACATAGTTTCTTCATCTTAAAGTAACAGAAACCTGGCTACAACTTGACTTGGCTGGCACAACATCCTGGTTGTCAAGGGCTCTTTCATCTGTGTCTTAATTGCACCTGAGGCCAAACTTCTGAGATACCCAAGCCCATGAGACTCTGGCTGGGCACCACTTTGAGGTCTGGTGAGATACACATGCCTTCTCACTCTCTTCTTTGGGTCCCTCAGTATTCCTACAGGACCAAGGAGGTGCACCAATTAGATTCTCCATCCATCTCTTCCTCTCATGAGAGCTCCTGGCCCCCTGCTTCCTCAAGGTATACATTTCCCTCCCTGATCCAAGCACCCTTTCCTGACTTTCTGCTCTATTTGCTGACCAGATGCTTCCTCGGATTTCCTGAAAGTCCCTCCACCTGTAAGTTCTGTGTTTTTCCCCAAACACATTTCTCTCCTGCTCTCCCTCATTTCATCTCTCCTTCTTTTCCTTTCTCTCAGTGGTCATATGGCCTTTAGGTAGCCAACACTTATACAGCATTTACTATATGTCAAGCATTCTCGTTTGCACTTCACACATATTAACTCATCAGCCTTCACAACAATTCTACAAAGTAGGGATAATTATTATTATCTAATAGATAAAGACACAGCAATTCATTAATATGTCTACATTAAGGTTCCACAGCTGGTGAATGGAACAGCCAGATGGAAATCCACCTCATTGACTCCTGGGTCCTCCCTTCAGCCCCTTCATTATAGTGCCTCCTAAGGCCCACTTCTTCCCCAGGATCTCTCTGCTTCACATCACTGACTAACCTCCAGAGCCCAAAAGGTAGCAGATTCCCTCCTTTTCCTGTCTTGAGAAATATCTGTTAGGTTCCTCCTTTTTGGTCAGAGCAAAACGGTGAATAGATCACGCCCTCATGTAAGTAACCTCATCAAGCCTCTCTCTTCTCTACTGTTCTTGACTTCCTTTCAGGAGGAATGGTTCTACTCAGTATTATTTGTGTAACTATAACATTGTGATATTATAATATCACAATATTAAAGCATGTACACTTAGAGTAATGGTGATTATATAGTAAAAGTAGAGCTGTTCTCTCATACATGACCTAAAAATTGAGGAGCTCACCTCAGGAAGAAATGGGCAGGACAGACTTTTCAGAGGAAATGTCTGAAGGTAGCCCTTCTGAGCAGAACACAGGCCTGCCAAAATGTGTTAAAGAAGTCGAAACTCAAGGCCCCTACTTTGGACAGAGAGCACTGCACCAAGATAACTGCATTGTATTCACTTGTGGGCATTGACAAGAGGAGAGAGGCTAATGAAACTTCATCCTCAGGGGAAAAACATGGAGGAGAAAGTTTATCTCAGTAACCATCTCAGGAAGAGAATTGAGCTGTGAACCAGAGGCGATGACAAAATAAAGTAAGTTTCCTTAAGCTGCAAGATTTTTGATGCTTGCATAACGAATGGGACTAAAACTCTTCAAGTGGAAAGGGCCATGTATCTGCCTTCAGGACAATGAGAAACCCACTCTTCACAAGTCAAGAAGCAAACAAAGCCCGCCCCCACTCAGCTAGAGAAGCTATAAGAGAAAAGGTAGCTAAGCATTGCGCCTGCTACAGGAGAGGAAAGAAGCCCCAAAAAGTGGGTCTCAGGCTGCTAAGTGGCCCTGGGACCTCACAAGATAAAGGCTTTTTGTGGACTTTCTGATACCTTCTCTGAAAAGGGAATATTTGAACTGGCTGGTCTTTGAAGATTGCATAAGCATATGTTTGTCCTTTACTAGGTGGGAAAGCCAAAGCAACCACACTGGCTAGGCCAAGATGTAGGCATGAGGAAGTATATAGATCTGCTGACCTGGAGCCAGGTTCCTGCACCGGAGCAGGAAGTAAGGTCGAAAGGGCAGGTTGGAGCAGAGTGGAGGCAAAGTGTTTCCTCATGAGTTAAGGACAGGACGTGGATTGCTCTGGGGAAGCTATGTCAACCAAACCTACCATGTCCAGACAGTTCTTATGTAGAAGGGATAAAGAAATTCTCCACTGAAAATGTGTTTCCCCTTCATCCCTTAGCAAAGTTCATCAGCAAGAAGAAAAAACACAATTTGATCTTGATCAACATAAAGAAAAGAAGGATTAATCCACAGGGCTTACCATAATGACTAAGAGCATGTTTTCTGTAAACTCTCTGAGTTCGAATGCTGACTCCACTAATTGCTATGTGACCCGGAACAAGTTATTTACTTTCCCTGTGCCTCATGTTCAGCTTCTGTAAAAATTCTGGAGATAATAATAGTTCTTAACCGGGGGAATATTGTCAAGATTAAATGAAAAAATATAGATAAAGCTCTTAGAATTGACTGTCAATATTGGGTAACAGGTAGAAGCCCCTGCAGAAATGGTCTAGACTTTCATTTGTAAGAATACCCAGAGAAGCTTTTCTAAGTAACATGTCAGGGTAATCTGGATTCCATATGAGGAATCTGCATTTTCAGTGCCATTCCAGGTAACACTGATGCAGATACTCTGAGTGTCCTGGAAGGAACTGTGCCCTGAGGGCTGTATGTAGTAGTAGCAACTCCCCAGCACAGTTAAAAACCCAGGAGCAATTTGTAAGGGCAAACCCCAGGAGGAAGAGAGCCAGAGACAGAGGTGGGCACTGCTCTTTTACACCTGAGCATTCCCTTTTACACTTGTTCTGCATCTGTCCAGTCCCTTTGAGCACCTACCATGACCTTGCACAGAGCAATGGGAAGTTTAATGAGGACACCTCACAACAATTAATACTAAATGTTTTCCATTCTGAAAGAGGCTTTCTTCTAAGGGACACACACACACACACACACACACACACACACACACACACACACATCACATTCCACTTTAAAACTTTGCTGTTTCTCCACTCTGAATGATCTGCTTTTATAAGAGGACTCAATGCTTTCTGCTGGCCCAAAGGGACAAAGTTTGGAATTGACACTCCATTCACAAGCTTGGGAAACTTTTCTGTAACACATTGGGAAGATGAAATGGCAGGATTTTCTTGGCCTTTTCAAGCAGCCAGACAACCCTCCAGCTCCTCCAGATGCCAGGAGCAACTCAGGATTCCAAACAATATCAGGCCAGGACCCAAAAATGCTCTTTGAGGTCTTGGATCCCTCTGAGCACTACCCTAGATTTAAGAGAATTTAAACTTGTATCTAACAGATTCCCTCGAAGTCTTGCCCTGCAATATCCTAAGTAAACACTTACCTTTCCCAGTCACTTAGCAAAGGTATGGCACTTGAGAATTGCCAAGTGCATGAAGAACATATAGCTCTGATGTTCTCTGGGGTTAATTCTGGGCTCTATCCTGGCATTAGCTCCCTAACAACCACATGCACAAAAATAGTGTGCTGGGGAGGTGGGGCTGGGGTTGGTGCACTTGCCCTTCACACTAGGAGGCTCCATAGCTAGAAGGTCTCCTTCCACCCAATCCTTCTGTGTTTCCTATCATAGGATTTGAAATTATTGCAAAAGGGTCCTACTGAGTTTTGCTTTGTTTATCCTGGTGACTGAAACTTTACATAAACCTCTTTGCTCATACCATTTGCCTACCTTCTTTTAGCCTACATTCCTGCTTTGTCTTCTTCGGAGTATAATCAAAGAATCATGGGCTTTGGAGTCTGACAGACTGGTTTGAGCTTGGCCTTTCCACTTGACAGCTATGTGAATTTAGGCAAGTTACTTAACCTCTGTTTGCCTAGGTTTCCTTATCTATAAAAATGGGACTGATATGGAAGACACTTTGGAGGTTCTTCAGAAGAACAGAGGCAAAAGTTGCAGAAATGGAAAGCAAAATGTATGTGAATGGGTTATTAGGTAAAATAGAAAGAGAAGCCAGGTAACTCCACCCCCATTTGTAGACTATGGGATAATGGGAAAAAATGGAAGAAACAGCACTTTGTATAACTTCTTAGCTCATAGCATATACCACTTCTTATAGTACAGCACCCCACTCACAAAGTGTCATCTTCCAGCGGGCACACAACTGAATAAACAATAGATCTTTCTTTCCTTACTGTCAGAGCCACCCATGTGTCAATGTACCATCTTTAAGCGAGTTTTTTCCTCTCTCATTAGTCTGTTGAAGGGAACTCCCCCAGGAGTCTGACCCACCTGCTTACAAAATTTATTTGTGTCTTTAGGACGTAATCTACCAACACTTTTCTTTTCACCTGCACTTTATCCCTTGCTACTAACAATGATAATCTGAGTGATTGTGATGCAATCGTATGACTCTGGAAATACGCATATCTCAGTTCCACTCATATGAATAATTAACCCAAACTAGAATCCAATTTTCAGGCTCTGTTTTCTTGTGGTTAATTCTAGTACCAGACACTGCATCAGTCAGGTCCTGAACCAGGAATGAATGAGGCCATCAAAATAAGATCATGTGAGGAGGGTTTAATGAAGAAATTATTAACAAATGTATGTGCAGAGTGTGGGAAAATCACAAAAGGATAGTGTAATACCCTGGGGCTTTTACCTTCCCTAAGTTTGAAGTAGCAAAAGAAGAGAACCAGGTAGTGTAATCCAAAAAGAGAAACTTACGTGAAGAGGGCTTCCTTCAGAGAAGTTCAAGATTAAAGGACTTTTGGCTAAGGGACACAGCAAACCCAAGGTAACCTTGCATGAAAGGAACTTCCCTCCTCTTTTTTCAGTCTCCCACCAGGCTCCTAATTGATTCAACCCAACCAGAAGCTGGAAATCAGGGGACGTAATAGTTATTGTCTACTGATATTGTGTATGGTCATCTCCCGAGGGAAATAACAAGGTAAAAAATGTATCTGGAAAGACCAACAAAAGTTATTGGACACAGTACAATTTCCACTTGATGGTGGAAGGCTGCTGTTTATGTCCAACATTATAACTACTTTATATTGGACAGTTCAAGTCACATAATCACTTGTTATCCCATGATCAAAATTTGATCTCTACCAGGGCCAATTAGCAACCAATAAGCTGTTTCTCAAATGCAGGAGAAGGGCATGACTTTGCTCCAAAATTCTAGATGTTCTTCAAAGTGACTCTCTTACTAAGTCTTGCAAGAGCCTCCACATAACATTCTTTTTTATTATTATTATACTTTAAGTTCTAGGGTACATGTGCACAACGTGCAGGTTTGTTACATATGTATACATGTGCCACGTTGGTGTGCTGCACCCATTAACTCGTCATTTACATTAGGTATATCTCCTAATGCTATCCCTCCCCCCTCCCCCCACCCCACAACAGGCCCCAGTGTGTGATGTCCCCCTTCTTGTGTCCAAGTGTCCTCATTGTTTAATTCCCATCTACAAGTGAGAACTTCTGGTGTTTGGTTTTTTGTCCTTGCGATAGTTTGCTCAGAATGATGGTTTCCAGCTTCATCCATGTCCATACAAAGGACATGAACTCATCCTTTCTTATGGCTGCATAGTATTCCATGATGTATATGTGCCACATTTTCTTAATCCAGTCTATCATTGATGGATATTTGCATTGGTTCCAAGTCTTTGCTATTGTGAATAGTGCCACAATAAACATACGTGTGCATGTGTCTTTATAGCAGCATGATTTATAATCCTTTGGGTATATACTCAGTAATGGGATGGTTGGGTCAAATGGTATTTCTAGTTCTAGATCCTTGAGGAATCACCACACTGTCTTCCACAATGGTTGAACTAGTTTACAGTCCCACCAACAATGTAAAAGTGTTCCTATTTCTCCACATCCTCTCCAGCACCTGTTGTTTCCTGACTTTTTAATGATAGCCATTCTAACTGGTATGAGATGGTATCTCATTGTGGTTTTGATTTGCATTTCTCTGATGGCCAGTGATGTTGAGCATTTTTTCATGTGTCTGTTGGCTGCATAAATGTCTTCTTGTGAGAAGTGTCTGTTCATATCCTTCACCCACTTTTTGAAGGGGTTGTTTGATTTTTTCTTGTAAATTTGTTTAAGTTCTTTGTAGATTCTGGATATTAGCCCTTTGTCAGACAGGTAGACTGCAAAAATTTTCTCCCATTCTGCAGGTTGCCTGTTCACTCTGATGGTAGTTTCTTTTGCTGTGTAGAAGCTCTTTAGTTTAATTAGATCCCATTTGTCAATTTTGGCTTTTGTTGCCATTGCTTTTGGTGTTTTAGACATGAAGTCCTTGCCCATGCCTATGTCCTGAATGGTAATGCCTAGGTTTTCTTCTAGGGTTTTTATGGTTTTCGGTCTGACATTTAAGTCTTTAGTCCATCTTGAATTAATTTTTGTATAAAGTGTAATGAAGGGATCCAGTTTCAGCTTCCTACATATGGCTAGCCAGTTTTCCCAGCACCATTTATTAAATAGGGAATCCTTTCCCCATTTCTTGTTTTGTCAGGTTTGTCAAAGATCAGATGGTTGTAGATATGTGGTATTATTTCTGAGGGCTCTGTTCTGTTCCATTGGTCTATATCTCTGTTTTGGTGCCAGTACCATGCTGTTTTGGTTACTGTAGCCTTGTAGTATAGTTTGAAGTCAGGTAGCGTGATGCCTCCAGCTTTGTTCTTTTGGCTTAGGATTGTCTTGGTAATGCATCCTCTTTTTTGGTTCCATATGCACTTTAGTTTTTTCCAATTCTGTGAAGAAAGTCATTGGTAGCTTGATGGGGATGGCATTGAATCTATAAATTACCTTGGGCACTATGGCCATTTTCATGATATTGATTCTTCCTATCCATGAGCATGGAATGTTCTTCCATTTGTTTGTGTCCTCTTTTATTTCGTTGAGCAGTGGTTTGTAGTTCTCCTTGAAGAGGTCCTTCACATCCCTTGTAAGTTGGATTCCTAGGTATTTTATTCTCTTGGAAGCAATTGTGAATGGGAGTTCACTCATGATTTGGCTCTCTGTTCATCTGTTATTGGTGTATAGGAATGCTCGTGATTTTTGCACATTGATTTTGTATCCTGAGACTTTGCTGAAGTTGCTTATCAGCTTAAGGAGATTTTGGGCTGAGATGATGGGGTTTTCTAAATATACAATCATGTCGTCTGCAAACAGGGACAATTTGACTTCCCCTTTCCCTAATTGAATACCGTTTATTTCTTTCTCCTGCCTGATTGCCCTGGCCAGAACTTCCAACACTATGTTGAATAGGAGTGGTGAGAGAGGGCATCCCTGTCTTGTGCCAGCTTTCAAAGGGAATGCTTCCAGTTTTTGCCCATTCAGTATGATATTGGCTGTGGGTTTGTCATAAATAGCTCTCATTATTTTAAGATACGTCCCATCAATACCTAGTTTATTGAGAGTTTTTAGCATGAAGGGCTATTGAATTTTGTCAAAGGCCTTTTCTGTATCTATTGAGATAATCATGTGGTTTTGGTCTTTGGTTCTGTTTATATGCTGGACTATGTTTATTGATTTGCATATGTTGAACCAGCCTTGCATCCCAGGGACAAAGCACACTTGATCATGGTGGATAAGCTTTTTGATGTGCTGCTGGATTCAGTTCGCCAGCATTTTATGGAAGATTTTTGCATAGATGTTCATCAGGGATATTGGTCTAAAATTCCCTTTTTTGTTGTGTCTCTGCCAGGCTTTGGTATCAGGATGATGCTGGCCTCATAAAATGAGTTAGGGAGGATTCCCTCTTTTTCTATTGATTAGAATAGTTTCAGAAGGAATGGTACCAGCTCCTCTTTGTACCTCTGGTAGAATTCGGCTGTGAATCCGTCTGGTCCCGGACTTTTTTTGGTTGGTAGGCTCTTAATTATTGCCTCAATTTCAGAGCCTGTTATTGGTCTATTCAGAGATTCAACTTCTTCCTGGTTTAGTCCTGGGAGGTTGTATGTGTCGAGGAATTTACCCATTTCTTCTAGATTTTCTAGTTTATTTGAGTAGAGGTGTTTATAGTATTCTCTGATGGTAGTTTGTATTTCTGTGGGATCGGTGGTGATATCCCCTTTATCATTTTTTATTGCATCTATTTGATTCTTCTCTCTTTTCTTCTTTATTAGTCTTGCTAGCAGTCTATCAATTTTGTTGATCTTTTCCAAAAACCAGCTCCTGGATTCATTGATTTTTTGAAGGGATTTTTGTGTCTCTATCTCCTTCAGTTCTGCTCTGATCTTAGTTATTTCTTGCCTTCTGCTAGCTTTTGAATGTGTTTGCTCTAGCTTCTCCAGTTCTTTTAATTGTGATGTTAGGGTGTCGATTTTAGATCTTTCCTGCTTTCTCTTGTGGGCATTTAGTGCTACAAATTTCCCTCTACACACTGCTTTAAATGTGTCCCAGAGATTCTGGTATGTTGTGTCTTTGTTCTCGTTGGTTTCAAAGAACATCTTTATTTCTGCCTTCATTTCGTTATGTACCGAGTAGTCATTCAGGAGCAGGTTGCTCAGTTTCCATGTAGTTGAGCAGTTTCGAATGAGTTTCTTAATCTTGAGTTCTAGTTTGATTGCACTGTCATCTGAGAGACAATTTGTTATAATTTCTGTTCTTTTACATTTGCTGAGGAGTGCTTTACTTCCAACTATGAGGTCAATTTTGGAATAAGTGCGATGTGGTGCTGAGAAGAATGTATATTCTTTTGATTTGGGATGTAGAGTTCTGCAGATGTCTATTAGGTCTGCTTGGTGCAGAGCTGAGTTCAATTCCTGGATATCCTTGTTAACTTTCTGTCTCGTTGATATAATGTTGACAGTGGGGTGTTAAAGTCTCCCATTATTATTGTGTGGGAGTCTAAGTCTCTTTGTAGGTCTCTAAGGACTTGCTTTATTAATCTGGGTGCTCCTTTATTGGGTGCATATATATTTAGGATAGTTAGCTCTTCTTGTTGAATTGATCCCTTTACCATTATGTAATGGCCTTCTTTGTCTCTTTTGATCTTTGTTGGTTTAAAGTCTGTTTTATCAGAGACTAGGATTGCAACCCTGCCTTTTTTGTTTTCTATTTTCTTGGTAGATCTTCCTCCATCCCTTTATTTTGAGCCTATGTGTGTCTCTGCACACCATACAACATTCTTACCAGATGCTTTGGGCATAATGGGACCAAACAGGTCATAAAACTCAAGTATCATATCAGCTTATCTTTATTTATTACTTAATAAGTTAGAGCAGCAAATTCAGATAAGAGACATGTTGCCACCAGAATCCAAATATCCCATTAAGTACTACGCCTTTTTATTAGTAATAACACTCAATATGCAGTAATTTGTCTTTCACTTGAAGGAGCTAATCTCCATATGCCCCAGACTACACAATTCCTAGAAACTTCACTAAGGTTGTAAGTTTCTCTCCCAACCTCTGTAATGCATATATCTAGCAAAGGCACCTAGAATATTTGCCAGTTCCTTTTAACTAGGTCCATCAACACTATGTTATCAATGAAGTGGATAGCATGATATTCTACAGGAAGGTGAGATAATCAATGTCTCTGTGTTCTCAATTTTGACAGCTGACATGGCACTGGGTAAAACAGTAAGGGAATACTATTATCCCAATCACATAAAAAGAAAAAGTTATTGTTTCTGGTGGTCTTTTCTGTTCATTCAGAAAATAAAGCATATCCTAGACTAATAGCTCCATACTCAGTACCAGAGACTGAAGCTAACACTATTCCCTACCATGTCGCCCAGGCTTCTACTTGGCCTTTCCTATAATAATAAATCCCTTTTTGCAAGTCAAGGGCCCAATGTTGTGATTCTTCCAGTAGCCAAGAGTGTCTATTCCAACCATGTATTCAGGAATTGAGAAAATAATTGCTGAGTGGGCTCATGGATCCATGTGGCCCACTATGGTAGGCAGAATTTCTAAAATGGTCTCCCAAAGATGTCCCATCCTGATTCCTGGAACCTGTGAATATGATTAGTTCTCATTCCCATTACTGTGTTATATTATATAGCAGAATTGACTTTAAGACAAGAAGGTTGTCTAGCTGAGCCTGATCTAATAATATTAGCCCTTGAAAGCAGAGAGCCTTCTATAGCTGGTGGTATAAAGGAATGTCAGAGAGTCAATGCATAAGAAGAACTCTGTGTGCCATTCCATTCCTGTCTTTGAATATGAAGGGAGTCACACAGGAAGGAATGTGGGAAGCCTTTAGGATCAGAGGAGGACCCTATGGCCAATAGCCAGCAAGAAAATTAGGGCCCCAGTCCTACAACCACAAGGAACTGAATTCTGCCCAAAACCTAAATGAGTTTAGAAGAGGATTCCTCCCTAGGGCCTCCAGATAAGAGTCCAGCCCAGTAGACACCCTGACTTTGGCCTTGGAAGACCATGGCCATGGAACCATGGCCTTGGTTCCATAAGCAGGGAACCCAGCCAATCTTGCACAGCCTTCTGCTTTACAGAATGGTGAGCTTAAAGAAAAGGGTATTGTTTTAATCCACTGAGTTTGTGATAATCTGTAACACAGCAATAGAAAACTAGTACACCCAGCGTGAGATGAACTCAGGCAAAAATTATCTGTGTCATCTGACATCTGTAAGTACCTACTCTGACAGACTACAGTACAATTTGGGTTATCAGTAATTAGTGTCAGCTCACTGCATAAAACTCTTGTAAAGTCTAGGTATTTTGAAGTTTCCAGTTCACAGAGGCCTTAGGAAAGACTGGGGGAGAGATTTACAGTACATATTCATGGACATGCTGCAGGATGCTCCCTCAAAATGATGTGTCCTTCCCTTCATCCAAGGGGTTCCTCTTTGATTGCTGGTTTAGATCTTGGAATTAGGGGATATGTTGTGGCTACTCAAGCCATAATCTCTGTTCACCAGACCTATAGAACTTTTCTTTGACTACCTATATTACGTAAAACTTTAGTAGATGATTGTATGTTTCCTATTGCTATTATAACAAATTACCACAAAATCAGTGGCTTAAAGCAACACAAATTTATTATATTACATTTCTGGAGGTCAGAAGCCTGAAAATAGGTCCTACAGGGCTAAAAATCAAGGTTTTGGCAGGCTATGTTCCTTTTGCTGACTGATATAAATTGGCAAACCTTGTAATTCTCCTCCAAAGTCAGCCTTTTTACTTGCCTCCTGAGGCCTTTGGGAATCTAACTCTGGTTATGGGTCTAGAGACAATAAAAGGTGGAGAGATGAGTTTTGAGATGCACTTGCATCCCCTTGCAATCCCTTTGAAATGACCATGGCTGAGATCATTACAGATACTTCCAACAAGGGAGCTTATTAAAAAAATTCAGATCACTGGAATCTATCTAGAAGTCTCTATTCCAGTTCAGAATTTTATTCTTTCCAATCAATGCCCCAACTTTTACAAAAGAATCTAGTGAGCCATGAATCCAAATTTCCTCTAATTCTGCAACCCACAACATCAAAGTTTGGGTCTGATCTTTATCAAAAAAATTAGACCCAAAATTTGATGCTGTGGATTGTAGAATTAAACGTAAGTTTCTTTTATGACAATCATAAAAGCTTTCCAGTTTTGTGTTGTTTTGTTTTGTTTGTTTGTTTGAGACGGAGTCTTGCTCTGTCACCCAGGCTGGAGTGCAGTGGCATGATCTCGGCTCACTGCAAGCTCCGCCTCCCGGGTTCACGCCATTCTCCTCCCTCAGCCTCCTGAGTAGCTGGGACTATAGGAGCCCGCCACCACACCCAGCTAATTGTTTTTGTTTTGTTTTGTTTTGTTTTTTGAGACGGAGTCTCGCTCTGTCGCCCAGGCTGGAGTGCAGTAGCGTGATCTCGGCTCACTGCAAGCTCCACCTTCTGGGTTCACGTCATTCTCCTCCCTCAGCCTCCTGAGTAGCTGGGACTACAGGCGCCCGCCACCACGCCTGGCTAATTTATTTGTATTTTTAGTAGATACGGGGTTTCACCGTGTTAGCCAGGATGCTCTCCATCTCCTGACCTCATGATCCGCCTGCCTCAGCCTCCCAATCTGACTGTTTTGAGCCAAAAAATTTACGTCTTGAGTTTTTCATTTTCTTTTTGAATCCTCTCCAATGAAGTCAGAAGCAGCTGTCCCACCCTAGTGTCCATGTGGTCTGCATATGAATTATCCATATACTCTATATGGATAGAGTAGATTTTTGAAAGTCTCTACCTCTGATATTTTTTCCTTCTTGCTTGAAATACCTTGAGGGGCTTTTCTGACTGATAAAGTATTTCAGTACTCTCTATGGATATAATGAATATGCAGATATTCTATATGGATATAATGGATTAAGCAGCCACTTAATCCCCCAAAGCCTTGCCTTCAACAGGAACTTTATTATAAGCAACTACATGCAGTAATTTAAGTAGCTATTTTCCCACTATATGCCATGACATACCAATATCTGTTTTTCTCTAATAGGTGAGATTATTGTTGCTTCAAATCTAACCAGATCTAACTCCATATTTGATAACCTGTTTCTTAGTGCCATATACTTTAGCAGTCAGAAAAGCTCCTCTAGATATTTCAAACAAGAAAGAATAAATCTCAGAGTTAGAGGCTTTCAAAAATGTAGAAATGACCAGGGGACTGAAAGTACAGAAATTCTGAGAGGCTATCACCAGCAATCTCAGCTGCCAAGAGCACTAAATGGGTGATTTATAGGAGGCCAGTGAGAACATATCTCCTGTTTACCAAAGCACATCCTCTGCTTACCACAGTCCTAGCAGCAATAATGGCTTTTGCTTTTCCTCTGACTTCCAAATCACATGTGAATGTCATTCATTGAAAGAATATGATGAGGTATCCTACTGTAAGGGATTCTGAAAAATGTAGTTCGATTTCCTAAGATACAGGGAAGAGCACAGAAAATAAAAAATTGTGCTGAAATTTTAATAGGTAATTTTGTGCATAATGTTAAAAAGTAAGTTATTTAAGGAAATGATGGTGGCTTTAAAGGATAGGATGGGGTGGGGTGTGTGTGTGTGTGTGTGTGTGTGTGTGTGTGTGTGTGTGTGTCTGATGTCCTTACCTAGCAGAATAAAAAGTTGACATCTGTGGTGGATATCACTGCCGCATAATTCTTTTTCTTTCAGGCCCACTGGGGAATTGCCTTTTCTTGAGTTCCTTGAGGTTAGGTGTGGCTTACTTTCACCAAAAAAATTGGAGTAGAAGTCATATGTTTTACTTCCACATATAAGCTTTTAATTGCTCATACTCAATGCCCCACCCCATTGTTTCATTGTTGGAATAATAAATCAAATGTTGGCATGAAGGTGAAATGCTGAACCATCATTGGAAAATATGAGCTCCAGAGAGCTCCCCTGACACAGAATGGCCTTTGCTTGAGCAAGAAATAAATATTTATTGATTTAAGCCACATATTTTTGTGGTTTTTTATTGCAATGAGACATATCTCACCCCAGTTAAAATGGCTTTTGTCCAAAAGTCAGGCAATAACAAATGCTGGTGAGGATAAGGAGAAACGGGAACCCTCATAAACTGTTGGTGGGAATGTAAATTAGTATAGCTACTACAGAGAACAGTTTGGAGGTTCCTCAAAAAACTAAAAATAGGGGGGTGGTTCCAAGATGGCCAAATAGGAATAGCTCCAGTCTACAGCTCTCAGGGTGAGCGACACAGAAGACGGATGATTTCTGCAATTCCAACTGTGGTACCTGGTTCATCTCACTGGGGATTGTTGGACAGTGGGTGCAGGATAGTCGGTGCAGCGCACCGAGCATGAGCCGAAGCAGGGCAAGGCATCGCCTCGCCCAGGAAGCACAAGGGGTCAGGGAATTCCCTTTCCTAGCCAAGGGAAGCTGTGACAGATGGCACCTGGAAAATTGGGTCGCTCCCACCCTAATACTGAGCTTTTCTGATGGTCTCAGCAAACGGCACACCAGGAGATTATATCCCGTGCCTGGCTCGGATTGTCCTACGCCCACGGAGCCTCGCTCATTGCTAGCACAGCAGGCTGAGATCAAACTGCAAGGCGGCAGCAAGGCTGGGGGAGGGGCGCCCGCCATTGCCGAGGCCTGAGTAGGTAAACAAAGCAGCTGGGAAACTCGAACTTGGTGGAGCCCACCGCACCTCAGGGAGGCCTGCCTGCCTTTGCAGACTCCACCTTTGGGGGCAGGGCATAGCCAAACAAAAGGCAGCAGAAACCTCTGCAGACTTAAATGTCCCTGTCTGACAGCTTGGAAGACAGTAGTGGTTCTCCCAGCACACAGCTTGAGATTTGAGAATGGACAGACTGCCTCCTCAAGTGGGGTCCTGACCCCCGAGTAGCCTAACTGGGAGGCACCCCCAAGTAGGGGTAGACTGACACCTCACACGGCCGGGAACCCCTCTGAGACAAAACTTCCAGAGGAACAATCAGGCAGCAACGTTTGCTGTTCACCAATGTTCGCTGTTCTGCAGGCTCCGCTGGTGATACCCAGGCAAACAGGGTCTGGAGTGGACCTCCAGCAAACTCCAACAGACCTGCAGCTGAGGGTCCTGATTGTTAGAAGGAAAACTAACGAACAAAAAGGACATCCACATCAAAACCCCATCTGTACATCACCATCATCAAAAACCAAAGTAGATACAACCACAAACATGGGGGAAAAACAGAGCAGAAAAACTGAAAATTCTAAAAATCAGAGTGCCTCTCCTCCTCCAAAGTAACGCAGCTCCTCACCAGCAACAGAACAAAGCTGGACGGAGAATGACTTTGACGAGTTGACAGAAGAAGGCTTCAGATGATCAAACTTCTCCGAACTAAAGGAGGAAGTTCGAACCCATGGCAAAGAAGTTAAAAACCTTGAAAAAGATTAGACAAATGGCTAACTAGAATAACCAATGCAGAGAAGTCCTTAAAGGACCTGATGGAGGTGAAAACCATGGCACGAGAACTACATGACGAGTGCACAAGCTTCAGTAGCGGATATGATCAACTGGAAGAAAGGGTATCAGTGATGGAAGATCAAATGAATGAAATGAAGTGAGAAGAGAAGTTTAGAGAAAAAAGAATAAAAAGAAAAAAACAAAGCCTCCAAGAAATATGGGACTATGAGAAAAGACCAACTCTACGTCGGATTGGTGTACCTGAAAGTGACTGGGAGAATGGAACCAAGTTGGAAAACACTCTGCAGGATATTATCCAGGAGAACTTCCCCAATCTAGCAAGGCAGGCCAACATTCAAATTCAGGAAATACAGACAACGCCACAAAGATACTCCTCGAGAAGAGCAACTCCAAGACACATTTGTCAGATTCGCCAAAGTTGAAATGAAGGCAGAAATAAGACGTTCTTTGAAACCAATGAGAACAAAGACACAACATACCAGAATCTCTGGGACACATTAAAGCAGTGTGTAGAGGGAAATTTATAGCACTAAATGCCCACAAGAGAAAGCAGGAAAGATCTAAAATCAACACCCTAACATCACAATTAAAAGAACTGGAGAAGCTAGAGCAAACACATTCAAAAGCTAGCAGAAGGTGAGAAATAACTAAGATCAGAGCAGAACTGAAGGAGATAGAGACACAAAAAACCCTTCAAAAAATCAATGAATCCAGGAGCTGGTTTTTGGAAAAGATCAACAAAATTGATAGACTGCAATTTTGTTGCAGTCTAAAGAAGAAAAGAGAGAAGAATCAAATAGATGCAATAAAAAATGATAAAGGGGATATCACCACCGATCCCACAGAAATACAAACTACCATCAGAGAATACTATAAACACCTCTACTCAAATAAACTAGAAAATCTAGAAGAAATGGGTAAATTCCTCGACACATACAACCTCCCAGGACTAAACCAGGAAGAAGTTGAATCTCTGAATAGACCAATAACAGGCTCTGAAATTGAGGTAATAATTAATAGCTTACCAACCAAAAAAAGTCCAGGACCAGATGGATTCACAGCCGAATTCTACCAGAGGTACAAAGAGGAGCTGGTACCACTCCTTCGGAAACTATTCCAATCAATAGAAAAAGAGGGAATCCTCCCTAACTCATTTTATGAGGCCAGCATCATCCTGATACCAAAGCCTGGCAGAGACACAACAAAAAAAGAGAATTTTAGGCCAATATCCCTGATAAACATCGATGCAAGAATCCTCAATAAAATACTGGCAAACCGAATCTAGCAACCATCAAAAAGCTTATCCACCATGATCAAGTGGGCTTCATCCCTGGGATGCAAGGCTGGTTCAACATATGCAAATCAATAAACGTAATCCATCATACAAACAGAACCAAAGACAAAAACCACATGATTATCTCAATAGATGAAGAAAAGGCCTTTGACAAAATTCAACAACCCTTCATGCTAAAAACTCTCAATAAACTAGGTATTGATGGGACATATCTCAAAATAATAAGAGCTATTTATGACAAACCCACAGCCAATATCATACTGAATGGGCAAAAACTGGAAGCATTCCCTTTGAAAGCTGGCACAAGACAGGGATGCCCTCTCTCACCACTCCTATTCAACATAGTGTTAGAAGTTTTGGCCAGGGAAATCAGGCAAGAGAAAGAAATAAAGGGAATTCAAGTAGGAAAAGAGGAAGTCAAATTGTACCTGTTTGCAGATGACATGATTGTATATTTAGAAAACCCCATCATCTCAGCCCAAAATCTCCTTAAGCTGATAAGCAACTTCAGCAAAGTCTCAGGATACAAAATCAATGTGCAAAAATCACAAGCATTCTTATACACCAGTAACAGACAAACAGAAAGCCAAATCATGAGTGAACTCCCAGTCACAATTGCTTCCAAGAGAATAAAATACCTAGGAATCCAACTTACAAGGGGTGTGAAGAACCTCTTCAAGGAGAACTACAAACCACTGCTCAACAAAATAAAAGAGGATACAAACAAATGGAAGAACATTCCATGCTCATGGATAGGAAGAATCAATATCATGAAAATGGCCATAGTGCCCAAGGTAATTTATAGATTCAATGCCATCCCCATCAAGCTACCAATGACTTTCTTCACAGAATTGGAAAAAACTACTTTAAAGTGCATATGGAACCAAAAAAGAGCCCACATTGTCAAGTCAATCCTAAGCCAAAAGAACAAAGCTGGAGGCATCATGCTACCTGACTTCAAACTATACTACAAGGCTACGGTAACCAAAACAGCATGGTACTGGTACCAAAACAGACATATAGACCAATGGAACAGAACAGAGCCCTCAGAAATAATGCCACACATCTACAGCTATCTGATCTTTGACAAACCTGACAAAACAAGAAATGGGGAAAGAATTCCCTATTTAATAAGATGGTGCTGGTGCTGGCAAAACTGGCTAGCCATATGTAGAAAGCTGAAACTGGATCCCTTCCTCACATCTTATACAAAAATTAATTCAAGATGGATTAAAGACTTAAATGTTAGACCTAAAACCATAAAAACCCTAGAAGAAAACCTAGGCATTACCATTCAGGACATAGGCATGGGCAAGGACTTCATGTCTAAAACACCAAAAGCAATGGCAACAAAAGCCAAAATTGACAAATGGGATCTAATTAAACTAAAGAGCTTCTGCACAGCAAAAGAAACTACCATCAGAGTGAACAGGCAACCTACAGAATGGGAGAACATTTCTGCAATCTACTCATCTGACAAAGGGCTAATATCCAGAATCTACTAAGAACTCAAATTTACAAGAAAAAAACAAACAACCCCATCAAAAAGTGGGCGAAGGATATGAACAGACACTTCTCACAAGAAGACATTTATGCAGACAACAGACACGTGAAAAAATGCTCAACATCACTGGCCATCAGAGAAATGCAAATCAAAACCACAGTGAGATACCATCTCACACCAGTTTGAATGGGGATCATGAAAAAGTCAGGAAACAACAGGTGCTGGAGAGGATGTGGAGAAATAGGAACACTTTTACACTGTTGGTAGGACTGTAAACTAGTTCAACCATTGTGGAAGACAGTGTGGTGATTCCTCAGGGATCTAGAACTAGAAATACCATTTGACCCAGCAATCCCATTACTGGGTATACACCCAAAGGATTATAAATCATGCTGTTATAAAGACACATGCACATGTATGTTTACTGCAGCACTATTCACAATAGCAAAGACTTGGAACCAACCCAAATGTCCATCAATGATAGACTGGATTAAGAAAATGTGGCACATATACACCGTGGAATACTATACAGCCATAAAAAAGGATGAGTTCATGTCCTTTGTAGGGACATGGATGAAGCTGAAAACCATCATTCTCAGCAAACTATTGCAAGGACAAAAAACCAAACACCACATATTCTCACTCATAGGCGGGAACTGAACAATGAGAACACTTGGACACAGGAAGGGGAACATCACACACTGGGGCCTGTTGTGGGGTGGGGGGAGATGGGAGGGATAGCATTAGGAGATATACCTAATGTAAATGACGAGCTAATGGGTGCAGCACACCAACATGGCACATGTATACGTATGTAACAAACCTGCACGTTGTGCACATGTACTCTAAAACTTAAAGTATAATAAAAAAAAAAAAGAAATTACTTAGTGGGTACACCGTACACTATTCACTCAAATCCCAGACTTCACCACTATGCAGTATATCCATGTAACAAAACTGTACCTGTACCTCTTAAAATAAAGAAAAAAAACTAAAAATAAAGCTACCATACAATTGAGAAATTTCACTGCTGTGTATATACCCAAAAGAAAGGAAATCAGTATATTGAAATATCTGCACCCCCATGTTTGTTACAGCACTGTTTACAATATCCAAGATTTAGAAGCAACCTAAGTGTCCATCAAGAGATGAGTGGATACAGAAAATGTGGTACTTGTACACAGTGAAGTACTATTCAGCCATTAAAAATGAATGAGACCTCGTCATTTGCAACAACCTAAATGGAACTGGAGGCCATTATGTTAAGTGAAAAAAGCCATGCACAGAAAGACAAACATTGCATGTTCTCACTAATTTGTGGGATCTAAAAATTAAAACAATTGAATTCATGCAACTAGAGAATAGAAGGATAGTTACCAGAATTAGGAGGTTAGCGAATGAGTGAGGGGGAGGTGGAAATAGTTAATGGGTATAAAAAAAAAAATAGGGTTAATCTGGCAAGATGGCCAAATAGGAACAGCTCTGGTCTGCAGCTCCCAGAAAGACAAATGCAGAAGGCAGGCAATTTCTGCATTTCCAACAGAGGTTCCCAGTTCATCTCACTGGGTCCGGTTAGGCAGTGGGTGCAGCCCATGGAGGGTGAGCAGAAACAGGGTGGGGTGTTGCCTCACTCAGGAAGTACAAGGAGCCGAGGGACCTCCTTCCCCCAGCCAAAGGAAGCCATGAGGGACTGTGCTACCCGGCCTTAATACTACGCTTTTCCCACAGTTTTTGCAATCGGCAGATCAGGAAATTCCCTTGTGTGCCTACACCACCAGGGCACCAAGTTTCAAGCACAAAACTAGGCAGCTGTTTGGGATGACACTGGGCTAGCGGCAGGAGCCCTTTTTCATACCCCAGTGGTGCCTGGAACTCCAGCAAGACAGAACTGTTCACTCCCCTGGAAAGGGGCTCAAGCCAGGAAGCCAAGTTGTCTCACTCAGTGGGTACCACACCTATGGAACATAGCAAGCTAAGAACCACTAGCTTGAAATTCTCACTGCCAGCACGGCTGTCTGAAGTTGACCTGGGACTATCGAGCTTGGTTGGGCGAAGGGCATCCACCATTACTGAGGCTTTAGTAGGCAGTTCTCCCCTGACAGTGCTAAGGAGGCCAGGAGGGTTGGACTGGGCGGAATTCACCACAATGCAGCAAAGCAGCTGTGGCACAACTGCCTCTCTAGATTGCTCCTCACTGGGTGGGGCATCTCTGAAAAAAAAAGGCAGCAGCCCAGTCAGGGACTTACAGATAAAACTCCCACCTCCCTGGGACAGAGCACCTGGGGGAAGGGATGGCTGAGGTCACAGCTCCAGCAGACTTAAACTTTCCTGCCTGCCTGCTCTGAAGAGAGCAGCTGATCCTGAAAAGGAGGATTCTCCAAGCACAGTGAGCGAGCTCTGCTAAGGGACAGACTGCCTCCTCAAGCAGGTTGCTGACCCCTGTGCCTCCTGACTGGGAGAGACCTCCCAACAGGGGTCGATTGACACCTCATACAGGACAGCTCCAGCTGGCATCAGGCCGGTGACCCTCTGGGATAAAGCTTCCAGAGGAAGGACCAGACAGCAATCTTTGCTCTTCTGCAACCTCCACTGGTGATACCCAAGCAAACAGGGTCTAGAGTGGACCTCGAGCAAACTGCAGCAGGCCTACAGAAGAGGGGACTGACTGTTAGAAGAAAAAGAGAAAAAACTAACAGAAAGCAACAACATCAACATCAACAAAAAAAGACCCCCATACAAAAACCCCACCCAAAGGTAATCAGCCTCAAAGATCAAAGGTAGATAAATCCATGACGACGAGGAAAAACCAGCACAAAAATGCTGAAAATTCCAAAAACCGGAGTGCTTCTTCTCCTCCAAATGATCACAATGCCTCTCCAGCAAGGGCACAAAACTGGACAGAGAATGAGATTTACAAATTGACAGAAGTAGACTTCAGAAGGTGGTTAATAACAAACTCCTTTGAGCTAAAGGAACATGTTCTAACCCAACGCAAACTAAGAACCTTGATAAAAGGTTACAGGACCTGCTAACTAGAATAACCAGTTTAGAGACGAAAATAAATGACCTGATTAAGCTGAAAAACATAGCATAAGAACTCCATGAAGCATACACAAGTATCAATAGCCGAATTGATCAAGCAGACTAAAGGATATCAGAGATTGAAGACCAACTTACTGAAATAAGGCATGAAGACAAGGTTAGAAAAAAAAGAATAAAAAGGAATGAACAAAGCCTCCAAGAAACACAGGACTATGTGAAAAGATCAAACCTACGTTTGATTGGTGTTCCTGAAAGTGATGGGGAGAATGGAATCCATTTGGAAAACAAACTTCAGGATATTATCCAGGAGAATTTCCCCAACGTAGCAAGACAGGCCAACATTCCAATTCAGGAAATACAGAAAACCCCACTAAGATACTCCTCGAGAAGAGCAACCCCAAGACACATAATTGTCAGATTCTCCAAGGTTGAAATGAAGGAAAAAATGTTAAGGGCAGCCAGAGAGAAATGTCAGGTTACCCACAAAGGGAAGCCCATCAGACTAACAGCAGATCTCTCTGCAGAAACCCTACCAGCCAGAAGAGAGTGGGGGCCAATATTCAACATTCTTAAAGAAAAGAATTTTCAACCCAGAATTTCATATCCAGCCAAAATAAGCTTCATAAGCAAAGGAGAAATAAAATCTTTTACAGACAAGCAAATGTTGAGGGATTTTGTCACCACTAGGCCTGCCTTACAAGAGCTCCTGAAGGAAGTACTAAATATGGAAAGGAAAATCTGGTACCAGCCACTGCAAAAACAAACCAAAATATAAAGAACAATGACACTATGAAGAAGCTGCATCAACTAATGTGCAAAATAACCATGTAGCATCATGATGACAGGATCAAATTCACACACCTAACAATATTAACCTCAAATGTAAATGGGCTAAATGCCCCAATTAAAAGATACAGACTGGCAAATTGGATAGAGTCAAGACCCATCAGTGTGCTGTATTCAGGAGACCCATCTCACGTGCAAAGACACAGGCTCAAAAAAAAGGGATAGAAGAATATTTACCAAGTAAATGGAAAGCAAAAAAAAAAAAAAGCAGGAATTGCAATCCTAGTCTCTGATAAAACAGACTTTAAACCAACAAAGATCAAAGAAGACAAAGAAGGGTATTACATAATGGTAAAGGGATCGATGCAACAAGAAGAGCTAACTATCCTAAATATATATGCACCCAATACAGGAGCACCCAGATTCCTAAAATTTGTTTGCTATTGCTTCTCTAGTTCTTTTAATTGCAATGTTCGGGTGTTGATTTCAGATCTTTTCAGTTTTCTGATGTGGACATTTAGTGCTACAAATTTCCCTCTTAACACTGCTTTAGTTGTGTCCCAGAGATTCTGGTATGTTGCCTCTTTGTTCTCATTGATTTCAAAATACTTATTTCGGCCTTAATTTCGTTTTTTACCCAGTATTCCTTCAGGAGCAGGTTGCTCAATTTCCATGTAGTTGTGCAGTTTTGAGTGAGTTTCTTAATTCTGAGTTCTAATTTGATTGCACTGTGGTCTCAGAGACTGTTATGATTTCCATTCTTTTGCATTTGTTGAGGAGTGTTTTACTTCCATGTATGTGGTCGATTTTAGGATAAATGCTATGTGGTGCTGAGAAGAATATAAATTCTGTTGATTTGGGGTGGAGAGTTCTGTAGATGTCTATTAGGTCTGCTTGGTCCAGAGCTGAGTTCAAGTCCTGAATATCCTTGTTAATTTTCTGTCTCATTGATCTGTCTTATATTGACAGTGGGGTGTTAAAGTCTCCCACTATTATTGTGTGGGAGTCTAAGTCTCTTTGTAGGTCTCTAAGAACTTGTTTTAGGAATCTGGGTGCTCCTGTATTGGGTGCATATATATTTAGGATAGTTAGCTCTTCTTGCTGCATCGATCCATTTACCATTATGTAATACCCTTCTTTGTCTTCTTTGATCTTTGTTGGTTTAAAGTCTGTTTTATCAGAGACTAGGATTACAATTCCTGCTTTTTTTTTTTTTTTTTTTTTTTGCTTTCCATTTACTTGGTAAATATTCTTCTATCCCTTTATTTTGAGCCTGTGTCTTTGCATGTGAGATGGGTCTCCTGAATATAGCACACCGATGGGTCTTGACTCTATCCAATTTGCCAGTCTGTGTCTTTTAAAAATTTAATGACTGCCCTGCTGGGCTTTGGACTATATGGGGCCTGTAGCCCCTTTGTTTTGGCCAATTTATCCCTTTTGGAATAGGAGTATTTACCCAATGCCTGTACCTCTTTTGTATCTTGGAAATAACTAACTTGTTTTTTATTTTACAGGCTCATAGGCAGAAGAGACTAACCTTGTCTCAGATGAAACTTTGGACTTTTGAGTTAATGCTAGAATGAGTTAAGACTTTGGAGGACTGTTGGAAAAGCAGGATTGTATTTTGCAATGTGAGAGGACATGAGATTTGGGAGAGGCCAGGGGTGGAATGATATAGTTTGCATCTGTGCCCTGACCCAAATCTCATGTTGAATGGTAATTCCCAATATTGGAGGTGGGGCCTTGTGGGAGGTGATGAATCACGGATGCTATTCTCATGATAGTGAGGGACTTCTCACAAGATCTAGTTGTTTAAAAGTGTGTGATACCTCCCCCATCTCTCTTTCTCCTGTTCCAGTCATGTAAGACATGCCTTCTTTCCCTTTGCCTTCCACCATGATTGGAGCTTTCCTGAGGTCCCCCAGAAGCTGTCATGCATTCTGTACAGCCTGTAGAACCATGAGCCAATTTAACCTTTTTTCTTTTTAAATTACCCAGTATCAGGTATTTCTTTATAGCAGTGCAAGAATGGACTAATTTAAGATCCCTGATGGGAGATGATGAATAGGGCATTACAAGGAGGAAAGAAGAAATCATCAAAAGTATGGCAATCAAAAGGAACATGATATATTGAGGAAAATAATAACCAAACCAGTTTGGAGGGAGCAGAAGTTTTTTTCAGGGAAGTAGTAGGAGATAAGGTTGGATGGTTGATTGAGACAGAAATCTGGGAGCCCTTAAAGATCAAGCAGAGACTTATTTGTGGGATATAAAAATCAAAACAATTGAAATCTTAGAGACAGAGAGTAGAAGGGTGGTTACCAGAAGCTGGGAAGGGTAGTGGGGGCCTGGGGGAGAGGTGGGCGTGGTTAATGGGTACAAAAAAACAGAAAAAATGAACAATACCTACTATTAGATAGCACAACAGGGTGACTATAGTCAATAATAACCTAATTGTATTTTAAAATAACAAAAAGAATATAATTGGATTGTTTGTAACACAAAAGATAAATGCTTGAGGGGATGCATACCCCATTCTCCACGTTGTGATTATTATGCATTGCATGCCTGGATCAAAATATCTCATGTACCACATAAATATATACAAATACCCACAAAAATTATGATTTTAAAAAAAAGACCAATCAGAGAATTCAGACTCTATCCTGAGACATTGGGATAGCCTTAAATGTGTTTTAATACTCGGATGATGAACAAGATGGTGACTTGAAAGATAAACCAAACACCAGGAAAGTGAGGAGACTGCACTAGAACCAGATAGACCACTTAGAAAGTAAGAAGTGATTAATTCTGAACCAGGGAGACTAAAACAGGAATCAATAAGAGGAAACAGAAAGATTTATCATTAAAACTTTGGAACAGTGAGGGGACAGAGGGAACATCAAGAATGACATATTTCCAGCTTACATGATTCAGAGAATAAAGTTCTGAGAAAAAAAAAAAAAGAAAGCCAGGAAAAAAAATAAAATGTTAGACCTGGAAAATTCCTTTAAAATTATCATGTCCACATGCTGTCTTTTATAGATAATGACTGCAGGCAAAAGCTAGTGCTGAAGAAAACAGAGGGGCTTTGATTTTAGTGAGTTTTCAGAACATGATTCTCATCACTTCAGAGGCCAGGAATGGAAACACCCACTTATGGGAAACAGCAGACACCTTAGGCAGAGTCACATCCGGCCCCTGCATGAGGCTCATCCCACCTCTCTTGCTCCCTCTGTGCTGCCCAGAATCTGCCCTAAGCATTGGGTCATCTCCCCTCTGAATCCTGAGGGCTTTCTCATTTCCCTGCCTGGCGTCACCCTTTACCTAAGTCTGTGCCTTTTACTTTGGCCCCAGATTCATCACCCTTGCTTATACCTGCCCTGGGAACATTTGTGCTAGTTCCATAGTACCCCTTTCTCCATTCTTCTTTATTCACTCCTCCACATTCATTCATCCAACATTTTTATAAGTTCTGGAGATAGAATGGTAAGCAATACATTTTCAGTGCTTTCGAAGGCTTACATTCTAAAATGAAATCAAGTTCTCCCCCACTCCCCTAAAAGAGGAAACAAATAATTACAACAAAATAATTTAAAATCATGGTAAGCACTAGGAAGAATAAAAAATCTGTGATGAAGATAAGCAAAAGAATATAGAATTGTGAATACAAAATTAGGTAGAAAACTAAGTTTATTAAGAACGAGGAAAGGGGCCAGGTGTGATTTACACCTGTGGTCCCAGCACTTTGGGAGGCCAAGGCAGGAGGATTGCTCAAAGCCAGGAGTTCAAGATCAGCCTGGGCAGCAAAGCGATACCTTGCCTCTTAAAATAAATAAATAAATTATTAATAAGAAGAAGAAAAGAAATCACACAAATTACAAATTTTTAAAAGTGTATAGAAACTACAGTTTTAAAAAATCTTTCTAGTGATTTGAACCTTTTATGATTATGAAGTGATGCACTTTAGTGCTAATAATACTTTCTATCTTAAAGTCTACTTGTGTGATAATAATATAACTACATGAACTTTTTTTAAGTTACGATAAAACTAACCACGATGTATCTTTTTCCATTATTTTACTTTCAACCTTTTTGAAACTTTGTTTTTAATCTTTCTCTTATAAACAGCCTATACTGGTTTTTTCTTAAATTCAATTTTAAAAAACCTTGTTTCTTAACTGGAGCATTTGATCCATTTACATTTAGTGAAATTACTGATATTTTTGAGTTTAGATCTGTCATCTCATTATGTGTTTTATTAAGCCACCTCTTCTATGTTCCTTTTCCTCTCCTTTCATGCGTTCTTTTGGGTTGGTTACTTTTTATTATTCTACGTTTTTTTATCTACTAGTTTGGAAGTTCCACACACTTTTCCACTCTCTTAATGATTATCCTAATGAATCATGAGGGCTTTTTTTGTTTTGTTTTATCTGGCTTATTTCTTTATTTATCCTAATTGCCTGAGTAGAACCTCCAGGACAATGTTAAACAGAAGTGACAAGAGCACATATCTTTTTCTAGTTCCTGATATGAGGAGGAAAACATTCAGTGTCATGCTATAGCACCTAGCTCCCAGCTGAGATTTTTAAGCTCAGATTTTATCTCTATGAATGTAGTAAGCATAGTGGTTCTACAATCCATATTGAATCATTTCGGTGTTTTTTTTTTGAGACAGAGTCTCACTCTATTGCCCAGGCTCCAGGCTGGAGTGCGTGGCATGATCTCAGCTCACTGCAACCTCTGCCTCCTGGGTTCAAGCGATTCTCCTGCCTCAGCCTCCCAAGTAGCTAGGATTACACACATGCACCACCATGCCCAGCTAATTTTGTATTTTTAGTAGAGACAGGGTTTCACCATGTTGCCCAGGCTAGTCTTGAACTCCTGACCTCAAATGATCCACCTGCCTCAGCCTCCCAAACTGCTGGGATTACAGGCATGAGCCACCATGCCCAGCTTCATTTCAGTATCTGATGTCTCTTCTGAACTACTTTTTCTGCTGGTTCTGGCTTATGTTGTTTTATCTCTTGGTGTATCTCATTGTTTTTCATAGTTTTCAGGCCACTTTTAACTTATTAATAGAAACAATTTGAAGCCTTAGACGGTGTTATTTTCCTTCAGAGAGACTTTTTACCTTCTGTCAGGTACCTGGTGGGAACCAAGGTTTTCTGAGTCACCAAGGTGACCTACCAAAATATAGTCATATCCTTATTCCCAGGGCACATCTGTCTTAGTCGATTTGGGCTGCTATAACAAATTACCCATAGACTAGGCGGCTTAAACAACAAATATTTATTTCTCACAGCTCTTGAGGCTAAAACAATCAAGGTCAAGTTGCTAGTAGATCCAGTGTCTGGTGAGGCACTCTTCCTGGTTTGCTGACAGCCATCTTCCTACTATGTCCTCACATGGTAGAGAGCAGGTAGAGAGCAAACTTCTTATAGAGATCTGCTTATTTAAAAGTGTGTAGCACTTCCCCTCATGCTCTCTTGCTCCTGCTCCCACCATGTAAGACGACTGCTCCCCCTTTGCCTTTTGCCATAATTGTAAGTTTCCTGAGGTCTCCCCAGAAGCCAAGCAGATGCCAGCATCATGCTTCCTGTACAGCCTGCAGAACCATGAGCGAATTAAGCCTCTTTTCTTTATAAATTACCCAGTCTCAGGTATTTCTTTATAGCAGTGCAAGAATGAGCTAATACATCCACCTTCTAATACCATCAAATGTGGTGGATTTGGAGTCAAGATTTCAACATATAAATTGGGAGAAGGACACAAACGTTTAGTCCATAGCAATATCCCTTTGAGATCTGAGTCCTGAGCAAGGAGTGTTTCAACAATTTTCCCACCATTAGAGGGCACAGGACTCTTATCCCTGTCCCTGCCAAGGTAGTGTGTGACTCTACCTTTCATCCTTTTCCCTGGAATAGGAACGTGTATCCAGCATAAAAACATTTTTGAATGGTGAAGCCCTTCAGGGTCTTAACCTCCTGACTCCAACTTTTATCTCCTTCCTACACTAACCTGCCAAAAGGGTAACCTAGTCCCAATCTTTGAACACCACCCGGGCAGAAGCCACTGAGGCTGCCTATCTTTCTCAAGCTGATCATAATTTCATAATTCTTCACTATTGTTTTTCCTTATTGTTCCTTTTAAGACTATTTTTTCTACCCAGTTTTTTAGTTGTCTTTAGAGGGAGGGTTATTACCAAAGCCAGAAAATTCTATTTTCATTTTAGTAACATTACCCTCCGAACAGTAGATGAGAGGATATTTTTCTTTTTAGATGTGTAATAATCCATCTGATTAACAAAGAAAGAATGAAAAATCTTGTTTTCATTAAAAAAATCTTGTTTTCATATAAAAAAATTGTTTTATAACAGCCTATGAAGTAATGCATGTAGGCATCTAATTAATATCTGCTATATCACTAAGTGAGGGATATCCAGACATCAGCATAGGAGAATACAACGCCACCTATGAAGTAGTCACCCCCTCAGAAAAAATCAAACCTGAATCGAGTCTCTCTAAATCTAGCCCCTAAAGCCATCAACAAATCTATAAGAAATACTGAGGACAAAGGGATGTGTTAAAATATACTATAGAGATGTGATAAGCAAACTCCAGGGTGTGAGACATTCAGGAGAAACAATTCAGTTCCTTAACAAATAAACAGTAATGGAAAAAAACAAGGTTGGGGGGACTTATATATTAAAATAGATTTATGAAACATAATGAATCACAATGCATTGATCTTATTCAAATCTTGATATTTTAAAAACTGTCAAAACTATGCTATTTATAATGTAATTGAGAACTTGAACACTGACTCAAAAATATTTGATATTTTAAAGCATTACATTTTTAAATATGATAACACTATTGTGGTTATGTTTAGCAAAAAAGGAGTATGTATATTTGTGTCTGTACATATATGTGTATATATGTACATATAGTATATAATTGCATATTATATAATCTACTACACATACACACATATATTAAGTATAATAGTTCTGGATAAAAAATTTGCTTAAAACTAATACAGGGAGGTAAGAAGTGAAGGAGAGTGTGGATGCAGACAAAAACTAAAAGACTATTATATAGAGAATGGGAGATTGGGTTGGTGGGGGAAAAGAATACAAACAAGATCATTTTGGAGCCTATTGTAATGTCCAGATGATAGATGATGCTGGCACGGACTAAGGTAATGAAGCAAAATAGAAGAATTTGAGATATATTTTGACTTTGAGATTTCTGTAAGAGATTCATGAATATGTAAAGTAGATAATAGCCAAGGAGAGATAACCTAACTTGGGATGAAATTATATCAATGAAAGGATGATTTTTAAATCTAGGGGAATTAATGAGCCCACTTAGGTCAAGTGTATTAAGGCAAACATTTATCGAACCCTAATATATCAGTTAGTAGATTTACAGCCTCGATAGGGGAGACAAGTCAATGGCAAATCCTGTGATAAAATATGGGCAAAGTGGAGTGTCAGGTGCAATGGAAGCAAGATCCCTCTCCACCCTGCTCCCCAACCAGTCACGGGGGATGAACTGTGAATAAGAGTTAACAAACTTAAATGACATCTGAAATACTGTCACCAACCGAATTGTTCAACTTGCACCAAAGGAAATCATTGTTTTTATTGATAACATCATTCTTTCAGCTTTATCTTTTCAAAGACTGAATTTTAACGGTTTCAGGCTCTGGGTAAAATGTCATGCCCATATCTTGGATGCCTTCAGGAACAGATGGGGCCTGACATGTTCAAAGCAGTCATAAGCAAACTAAAATCCAATTTTCCTTGGTAGGAGGGCACTGGAACAGCCAAGTAGTCTGGAGGGAGAGGCTGGGCTGGGAGTATGTTCTTGCTGATTCACAAGGCCTATTTATACAACCCCACATGCCGTTCAAGTTTTCTCCTGCCCTGAAAGTACAGGCTGCAAATGAGCACTAGTTTATGGGCACAGCTGATTCCAATCTCTCACTTGTCATGAACTAATGTTTTATGATATGTTGAGGTGACCCCTGGCTAAAAAGACTCTGTATAAATGCTTTTCATTGTTTTCTTGTTTGTGATGTATTGAGCCAGAGGATGTGCGTAACCTGATCAACCTAGTAAAAATTTTAATCTCTTCTATTTTTATGGCCTTCCAGGAAAAATTCCATTTAGGGGAAAAGTAATGACTTTCAGAACTAATTCTCAAGCATCCCAACAACATGTTACCAACAATGGGCCCACTCCTATCAGGGGTCTTCACTCCTCTAAAAGTTTTCCTAATAGTTTTTGTTTGGAGATTGGTGTGTTCAAGCACTTGAGAGGCAGGGTCTTTGTCAGTAGAGGGGGTGGTGGGGTCACTGAGCGTGTACGTGGGAGGGACAGTGGAAGTCTTAGGAGTTACAGGCTTCAATTTGCTGTTAGGATGCCATCTTCGAGGGCCTTCGGCCCACCAAGACTAGAGGTTTTGCTTGCTATCAAATCTCTCAAAATGGTAATCACAGCTAAATGAACAATCTCATTTAATTCTCACAATAAGCCTGTCAAAAATGTATACCACATATACACCCTGCATTTTACAGATAGAGGAACTAAGGCTGAAAAAAGTTGTGACTTGCCTGGGACCACACAGCTTGGTGGGAAGCAGCTTTGACTTCGTTGCTTCTGATCTCTGTGTCTACTTTAGCAGAGGTTTGCTCCCCCCACCTCTATTCAAAGACCCTAGGAGCCAAAGGAGAAGAGATTTGAGAGCAACATTCATGAGAGTTGCAACATCCTCCATGCATAACATCCTCAGTCTGGTGATTCTTACCTTGTTTCCACCTCATTCCCATAACAGTTGATGTACACCTGGTATTACTTCACCAGCACGGGACATACAAGTGGGAGTTAACCATCTGTAACTCAACTTCCTTCCCTCTCACTTAAAGAGAAACACATGAGAATCCAGGTAAGAGTGATATTAAATTTTCTCCAATTTATTTTTATGTAAGTCACTCACAAATATTCCATTATTAGTAACAACAAATTATTAGTAGCACAAATTACTTGCAATGTAATTTCAAACTGTCACCAGAAGAGATACCTGTTGCTTACCCCTGTGATGACAACTTATTCTTTCTCAAACCTCCTACTGTTCTCTATCCATAACCACCCACTCTCACCTTTATCTACTGAGCTCTCAGCATCTCATAAAAAGCATGGGATTCAGAGTTCAGACATAGGTTTGCATCCTGGCTCTGACACTTACTAACTGTGTGACACTGACAAGCAATTAAGTTTCTCTAAGACTCAGTTTTCTCTTGTATAAAATGGAGATAAAATAGTATCTGCCTTATGCTATTGTGAAAATTTAGTGGCAATAGATAGATAGTAATTGGATATGTAAGTTATTACAATGTCTGGCACACATTAACCACTGACTAAATGTTAACTACCTTTTATTACTTTATCCCATATCTATCCAGTTCACATCCTCCACTCCTTTTCTGTCAAGTTTTCATGTGCCTGTGTTTACTTTGAAGAGGAGCTTATGTTCTGAACTCGCTAGTAAAGAAAACAACAAGATATTACAAAGAGAATTGGAAGGAAGCCTCAAATTAATCAACATTTATATAATTTCTCCTGTACCCCAGCCATCCTAAATAGTCAGTTTACCTTATCGAGTGATGCATTAGTAACAGGGTGAATTGTGAGTTCAGCCATCAGTATTCATTGGCTGCACTGTTGAAGCAGCAGCTCCCCACTGATTTCAGAGACTACTTATCCACTTGGCCATCCACAGTGTTAAGTTTCCTAGACGTTAGGGAAAGACCTGCTCCAAAGCAAAGGCCAGGCCACACTCTGTTTCCTCTCCACTCACCAGCATCCACACTTCAGCTCTGCGGCCAAACATTTAATGAAATACCGCCCAAGTAAAGAGAAGCTTCCCCAACTACTGAGATTGCATTAAGAACGCTAATTGAGGCAAGATCGTAAGTCTGCCTTCACACCATCCCAAGAGGGAAAAGAGATCTGACCCCATGGAGGAGGCTATGCATACATGTGTGTGAATCTCAACACCATAAGGGCAGGCATGTTAACAAGAGATAAATCAGTGGTGGAGGAGGCAAAGGCCCAATGAAAAGTGACATCACATGTTAGCAAGTCATCAAAGGGTTAATGAGATTCTGCCAGAGATGTTAGCTATTCCCTTACCTGTCAGATCCATTTTTAAAATCTTGAATCTGACACTGATCTTCACTGCTCACCCAAAATCTAAATGGTACCATGCTATTTAGGAGAGAGTCCCTGCCCCATGTTCTTCACATCAGAAATGAAGATGCAGGCCAGGTGGCTCAATCCTGTAATCCCAGCACTTTAGAAGGCCGAGGTGGGCAGATCACTTGAGGTCAGGAGTTCGAGACCAGCCTGGCTAACATGGTGAAACCCCATCTCTACTAAAAATACAAAAATTAGCTGGGCATGATGGCACATGCCTGTAATTCCAGCTACTCGGGAGGCTGAGGCAGGAGAATCACTTGAACCCGGGAAGCAGAGGTTGCAGTGAGCCAAGATCACGTCATTGCACTCCAGCCTGGGTGACAAAATGAGACTCCATCTCAAAAAAAAAAAAAAAAAAAGAAGATGCACTACTCAACCTCAGCTAGACCCCCTGACAGCTCTCCTCCACTTTACTCTTTTCCTTGGTTGACTCTCCAGCCTAGTTCTACAATCATTACTCCAAACTTTTTCCACTCTCTAAATCCTGAAACAGGAACCCGCACCATACTCCCTTTCACCCCCACCTCTACCTCCACCTCCACCTCCACAGACGGCCTTGCCTCTTGTTAGGAGGTTTTGTGAAGACTGAAGCTTATACAATTTAGGGAGAAGGATTATTAAAATAAAATAATATAAAATTATGAATACAAAATTTTGTATTCATAAAAAGTAACAATGCAAAAAAACTTTTAAGTTAACAAATACCATAACGTCATTATATTATAAATGTTTTTAGTAATTAACTGCCTGACATACCTCTACAATATTTTTTCTTACCATTTTTTGCCTATGACAATGGCTTTATAATATCATAGACAATGGCTTTATAATATCATTTGACAATGGCTTTTTATATGACAGTGGCTTTATATCATTATATGACAATGGCTTTATATATCATATTTTAATTACTGAAAATAAGAAACTGCTTGTGATATCTTACTGGCTCCTTCATTAATAAATGGGTTAAGTAAAATCTCAGACACTTGTTCATTTTACGTGTGTATTGGAGTCATAATTTTACCTTTTTTAAAAAGTATCTTTTTGGAGATCTTCTACCAAAATGCCCAATGAATTCACCTGACAGAGGCAAGTAAACTACATTGCCAGGAAAGTGTATCCAGTAAGTGGCTTGAGACCAGGCACATATTTTCTTAGCTCCTGGAGATAAACGCCAAGTGACAAAAGAAGTTTAAGTTTGCTAACTCTCCATTTCTCTGGTTTATCTTCCTTTCTACTGTCTGTGTGTTTATGTATGTCTGTTTCATTTATGGTTAATAAATTATTTCCCATTGGTGTCAGAAAAGATTAGGAAATTGATTTTAATGTATGACCATTTGGTGGTCTCCAAAACTAGGTTAATAGATTATAGATATCTGTTTTCTTTTTTTTTTTTTTTCAGAGGGTCTCACTATGTTGCCCAGGCTGACCTCAAACTCCTGGGCTCTAGCAACCATCAAGCCTGGGACTATAGGTGCCTGCCACTGTACCTGGCCTTATCTATTTTTCCCTTGAGTGAAGTGAACATGTATAATTTGATTCGTCTTTTTTGTTTATCTATTTGTCTTTTTTGAGCCAAACCAATCAAGAATTTCAAGCTCACCAGGAAGGGGAACAGCTTTTTGATGTCTACTTCAGGGTGTTTTGGTATTTCTGTATCAACTCTTGACCTGTGGCTAACATAGAACTGAAGCTTTAAGCTCACTATGTATATGTATATCTATGTGTCATAACTCTCAAAAGATTGTACCTTTCTTTGTAACTGGATGTTTTCCTATCTCCCAGGGGTATCAAAAAATTACATTACGAAGTCTCTTAAATTAAAGGGGTGTTTTTTGGATGGATTTACGTAAGAGACAGATAAGTGCTTATATAGATGGGATATTCCCAAGAATCAGAAAATCAGAAAAGTGCACTTCATCCCAGCACTTTGGGAGGCCAAGGCAGACAGATCACATGAGGTCAGGAGTTCAAGACCACCCTGGCCAATATGGTGAAACCTCGTCTCTACTAAAAATGTAAAACTTAGCCAGGCATAGTGGTACACGCCTATAATCCCAGCTACTCGGTGGCTGAGGCATGGGAATTGCTTGAACCCAGGAGGCAGACGTTGCAGTGAGCCAAGATTACACCACTGCACTGCAGCCTGGGCAACAGAGCAAAACCCTGTCTCAAAAAAAAAAAAAAGAAAGAAAGAAAAAGAAAAATGAACTTCAAATGCTTTAAATGTGCTAAACTTAAATAAATTACCCTCACAAAAACTCAAAAATATATTAAAAACCCAGAAATATATTAAGAATATATTCAGAAACTCAGAAACTTAGTGCCTTACAAAACTTTCTTAGGAAAACTAGCTATTCCCTGGCTTACAGGGTACCCTGGCCTTACAGCTGTGAAGAAGGTCTCTTCCTGGCTGACCAGAAGATTTAGGGTATTGGGGGTACCTCAAGAAGAGAGAAATTCCCACACATTTGTAGATACTACAGGTGATATCTGGTAGGGTTTGTTGGGTTTGCTTTCCTAGCTTCAATATCACAAACAAAAGAAGTTTTTAAAAGCCCAATGTGAGGGCTGGGCATGGTGGCTCACCCCTGTAATCCCAGCATTTTGCGAGGCCTAGGTGGGCAGATCACCTGAGGTCAGGAGTTCAAAACCAGCCTGGCCAACATGGCGAAACCCCATCTCTACTAAAATACAAAAATTAGCTGGGCATGGTGGTGGATGCCTGTAATCCCAGCTACTTGGGAGGTTGAGGCAGGAGAATCGCTTGAACCCAGGAGGCAGATGTTGCAGTGAGTCGAGATCGTGCCACTGCACTCCAGCCTGGGCGAGACGCCGTTTCAAAGAAAAAGGAAAAGAAAAGCCCAATGTAATATTCCTTTTAAGAACTTCCAAAAAGAACTTAATTTTATCATGCTTCAATACTGTATGGCTCTTGATTTGGTAAAGCAAATTTAAAGAGACCTAAGCAGTAAATTAACATTCTTCTTTCATGCATAATTAATAATCAAGTCAAATCTAATGTCAGGCTTAGTTCAATCACAAAATAATCTTTTCTCTCTTTTTTTATAATTATTATGATCACAAGGCAGGGGTCAGGGGATACTGTCAGAAAAAATCATGAATGCTTGGAAATGGACAAAAAAAGATAGTGGATGTTTGTCTAGCTCACTTATCCAGGTTATCTCAGCCTTTCCATGTCTTTGAGCTGTTTTACTCCATAAATTATAGATAACCAAGAGCAAGGCAAATGATATTTTCCACAGTCATGCAAATTCTGTCCAGTGAAGGGACAACTGATTCTCTGTACTGATGACTACCCCTCTTACAGAAAAAGATAGTTTTTGAATTTTAGAATTTTTTCTGGTTATTCTTTCATGTCTTTTTTCCCATCTAATCATTAGAATCTCTTTGCTAGTGTTAAGAATTCTTTTAGCATTTGCTTTGAAGTTACATTAAATTTATAGATTATATACAAAATTTATATCTTTGTGAAATTGAGTCTTTATGTCTAAGAACAAAGTATGCCTTTCCATTTGTCCAAGTCTTCTTTTGTTTCCCTCCACAGCTTTTAAAATTTTTCTTTTTATGAGGCTTCTACATTTCTTGTTAAATTTATTTCTGAGTATTTTATCGTATTTGCTGCTACTGTAAATTGGACCTTTTCTTCCAGCGCCAGAGGCATAACTCATTATTGGTTTAAGTCAAGCAGGATGGTCCCGTTTCTTTTCCCAGTCTACACCCTTCTGACCAACTGAAACAGAAGAAGAAGAAGATATAAGGAGGAAGGTTTTCCTCACTGATCTGAAAAAGAGCACACTGGAAGAAGCAGGCCCTCTTATGAAGGAAAAAAACCACTCATTTTTTAAACTGAGGTTTTTTTCCCAGTAATTTGCAGCTGAAAATATCTGATAAAATAATTATAATTGTACAAAATATATCTTATATTTTATCTCTTTATTTAACCTTCACTCATTATCTCTTTAGACAGAATCTACAAATTCCACATAATTATCAACGATGACTTTAGTACATTTCTATTCAGGAGTGGCATTCAGACACACACACACTTCTGTGGAAATAAATAAAGATCAACCAAATGAAAACAGGCAAGGTCTATTTATTCAGGGCTTGTTAGAGCAAGGGAGTCTGCCACCATCACTTGCACTCTGGCAAGGACTCAGAAGCTCCCCTGATTAAAGGCTATCCATGTGAGGAAGCTGTAGGTGGGCTAACTAGAAGCAGAGCCTGGCCCAGGGTGATCTCATCTTAAGATCCTTATCTTAGTTACATTTGCAAAGGCCCTTACTCCAAATAAGGTCATATTCTGAGATTCTAGATGGATCTTTTAGGGAGACACTATTCAACCCATGACAGTGTACAACTCTGAATATACTAAAACCATTAAATTGTATTATTTATATAGGCGAATTTTATGATACCCGAGTTGTATCTCAACAAAGACATTTAAAGAAAGGCATAGATAATATTTTTGAAATGTTTTGAAAACTTAGTAAAATAATAACCATATAAAATCACGTAAAGTACTAAAATATTTACTACTAAAACAAACCACTAAGCCAAGAAAGATTTACAGAGCATGTTAAAGGAGAAATTGTCCCATCTCTTTCAAAGAAGGTAGGATAATTCTTATTCCAATATCGAATAAGGATAATACAGAAAGAAAACAATACACTAATTTTAAGCAAAACATATATGCAAAGAAGGCCATTTGATCACCTCAACATATTTTTTAAAGTTATTTAACAAAATTCTACATTTATAATTGATTTTTCAGTGTTAAATTGATTAAAGATATTCACCAGAAACTAGGTGACACAGTAAAAACATTTATTTTAATGTCATGACCAAGAAGAATGATCACTACTACTACTACTACTACTTCCACTAGAGGTCTTAGGCAATGTTATAAGACAAGGGTAGGTCCCTGTGCAGACCTGTTTTTTCAGATTATTGTACACATACTGGAAATGGCTGCCTCAATTGCCCATAAATGTTCTTCCTAGCATAGTGTCTAAATACCTAGATATACTGTACCCCAGTTACTAAAAGAAAAAATATTTTTGCCTCAGATAAGGCCAGGAGACAAATCCTGATGCAATCACTTGTGATCCTAGGAGCAAACTACATTACCCACTGACTCCTAGAAAGGAATAGCACACTTGGGATTTCTGGAAAACCTTTAGGAGCATGTTTCCAATGGTATTATAGAGTCAGAGAGCATGGAGAGTTGAGTATTTTTGTCAATGGGACTATATAAGAGACACTTGGTTTATAATGATATTTGCCATATTGATTTATAATTACTTGCTTTCATTTAAGCATCTTCCACTGTATTAGTAACTTCCTACATTTGCAGCTGGGTCTTTCTCATTTTTTCATCTTCTGCACCTAGTACCTGAATTCCTCAATATTCAAAGTCCTTATTCTTTTTCTTCCCCAAAAAAGTTGTAATTACACATTTCTTCCATTGATGTCTCTTGTTTACTCACAAACTCTGCCAGTTTGTTAGTATATGTAGTATCCTGAGGCTTATACTTCAAGACTGGGCAGCTACAAACTCCTGAGAAACTCACTACCAGTATAAGATATTAAGAAGGAACATATTATACTATAATCAGTAAAGCAAGTATTAAAATAGCAAAATTAACAGTTGTAGCTAAAATTTCAAAAAAGATATCAAATGAAATTGTAGAAAATAATTAATATAAAAGAAGGCAGGAAAAGAGGGAAAGAAAAATAAAGAATAGATGGGACAAATAGAAAAATAGCAAAATTACAAACAAATTCAACCATACCAATATGCACATTAAATGTAAACGTTCTAAACACCCCAATTAAAAGGCAGAGCTTGTCAGATTGGATTAAAAAACAAGACCCAACTATTTCTGCCTACAAGTAATGCAACTGAAATATAAAGAGACTAACAGCTTAAAAGTAAAAAGACGGTGTGTCAAAAAATAAGATATAAATGATTATATATATAATATATACATTTGTATGTATACATATATACATAGAGAGATTGATATTAAGGAATTGGCTCACATGATTGTGGGGGATGGCAAGTTCAAAATCCATAGAGCAGGCCAGCAGGCTGAAAATTCAGGAAAGATTTCTATGATACAGTCTTGAGGCAGAATTCCTTCTTCTTTAGGAAACTTCAGTTTTTGCTTTTAACATCTTCAGCTGATTGGATGAAGCTCACCTATATTATGGAGGGTAATCTGCTTTACTTAAAGTCAACTGATGTATATGTTAATCATATCTAAAAAGTACCTTCACAGCACCATCTAGACTAGTGTTTGATCAAATAACTGGGCACCATAGCCTAGCCAAATTGACACATAAAATTAGCCATCACAAATGGAAACAGAACACTAGACCAGAAAAAATAATTAGGAGGGCTATACTAGTATCAGACACAATAGATTTCAGAGCAAAAATATTGTCAGAAATAAAAAAGGACATTTCATAATGATGAAAGTGTCAATTTATCAAGAAGGCATAGCAATCTAAATGTTTGCATACTTAATAGCAGAGCTTCAAAATACATTAAGCAAAAAATGATAAAGCTGCAAAGAGAAATATACAAATACACTATTATGGTCAGATATTTCAATACCCATCTCTCAATAATTGATAAAGCAAGTAAAAGGAAAATCAGTAAAGATATAGTAGATTTGTATAACACTATCAACCAAATTGAACTTATTGACATTCATAGAACACCCCAACCAACAGCAGCAAAATACATATTATCTTTAATTATACACATAAACCAAGAAAGGCCATGAAACAAGACTCAAATTTAAATGCATTCAAGTCATACAGAATACATTCTGTGACAACAAAGAATTAAATGAGAAATCAATAACTGAAAGTTATCTGGGCCAGGCATAGTGGCTCACACCTGTAATCCCAGCACTTTGAGAATCTGAGGTGGGAGGATCACTTGAGGTCAGGAGTTTGAGACCATCCTGGGCAACATAGCAAGACTTTGTCAGTACAAATAATTTTTTAAAATTAGCCAGGCATTGTGGCACGCACCTGTGGTCCCAGCTACTTGTGGGGCTGAGGCAGGAGGATCACTTGAGCCCGGGTAGTTGAGGCTGCAGTGAGCTGTGATCGCACCACTGCACTCTAGCCTGGGTGACAGAGTGAGGCCCCATCTAAAAAAAAAAAAAAAAAAAAGTTATCTGGAAAATTCTTAAATATTTGAACACTAAAGACACACTTCTAAATAATCCATTAGTCAAAGCAAAAAATCAAAGAGGAAAACCAAAGATATTTTGAACCAAATGTGAAAACTAAAATTCAACATATTAGAATTTGTGAGATGCTGCTAACACAGTACTTCGGGAAATTTTTATAGTATTAAATGTCTGGAATGGAAAAAAAGTGAAGTTCTCATATCAATGACCTCAGCTTCCACCAATGAAACTAGAGAAAGAAGAGCAAATTAAACTGAAAATCATCAGAAGAAATGAAATAATAAAGATTAAAGCAGAAATCAAAGGAATAGATAGAACCAATAGAGAAAATTAATGAAACCAAAAGTTGGCTCTTTGACAGGTTCAATAAAATTAATAAACCTCTAGTTATACTAATCAGGAAAAAAGAGAGAACACGCCAATTGCTAATTATAAAAATGAAAGATGTGGCATCATCGCAAATGCTCTAGAATTAAAAGGATAACAATGGAATACAAAGTGAACAACTTTGTGTCCAAAAACAAGACAACATAGGTCAAATGGACAAATTCCTTGTTTGTCAATTTATCACAGTTCACTCAAGAAGAACTTTGGTAGATTTGATAAATTACCTGATATCTATCAAAGAAATGTAATTGGTATTTAAATACCTTCCCACCACAAAAAAATCTCTAGACCCAGATATCTTCACTAGTAAAGTTAAGGTAGAAATAATACCAATTCTACACAAACTCTTCCAATAAATTGTAAATGAAGAAATACTTCTCTAACCTCATTCTATGAGGCCAGCATTACCCTAATACTAAAACCAGACATTACAAGAAAACTGTAGATCAACCTCTTTTAAACATATATGCAAACATTCTAAGCAAAATTTTAAAACTCCAATATATAATATATAAAAGGGGTAATGTACTATGACCAAGTGGGGTTTCTCCCAGGAAAGCAATTGATTCAAAAATCAATCAATATAATTCACTATATTAGTGTTGTGGTTAATACTGAGTGTCAATTTGATTGAATTGAAGGATGCAAAGTATTGTTCCTGGGTGTGTCTGTGAGGGTGTTGCCAAAGGAAATTAACATTTGAATCAGTGGACTGGGAGAGGCAGACCCAACCTCATTCTAGGTGGGCACCATTTAATCAGCTGCCAGTGCGGCTAGAATAAAGCAGGCAGGAGAAGATGGAAGAACAGACTAGCTGAGTCTTCTGGCTCTCATCTTTCTCACATGCTGGATGCTTCCTGCCCTCAAACATTGGACTCCAAGTTCTTCAGCTTTTGGACTCTTGGACTTACACCAGTGGTTTGCCAGGGGCTCTCGGGCCTTCAGCCACAGAATGAAGACTGTACTGCTGGCTTCCCTACTTTTGAGATTTTGGGATTTGTACTGGCTTCCTTGCTCCTCAGCTTGCAGATGGCCTATTGTGGAACTTCACCTTGTGATTGCGTGAGTCAGTACTCCTTGATAAACTTCCCTTTACATATACGTCTATCCTATTAATTCTGTCCCTCTAGAAAACCCTGACTGATACAATTAGCTACCTAAAATAGAAAAATCACATGATCATCTTCGACAGAAAAAGCTATTGACAAAAACCAAATTTCATTTCTGATAAAAACTCTCCGCAACATAGGATAAGAAGAAAGTGTCCTCAATTGATAAAGGGTACTACCAAAAAACTTAGTTAATGTCATACTCAATGGTGAAAGATTGAGTGCTTTCCCTCTAAGATCAGGAACAAGATAAGGACATCTGTTCTCACCACTCTTATTCAACATAATACTGAAGTTTCTAGACACTGCAAGCAGATAAGATAAACAAAATTAAAGGCATACAGGTTGGAAAGAAAGAGGTAAAACTGTCTATTTGTAGATGATGTGATCGTCTATGTAAAAAACCCAATATATTTTTTAAAAGCTAATACAATGGATGAATTTAGCAAGCTTGAGTTTTACAACTACAAACAAGTTGTAGTATTCAACAGCAATATGCAAAAATCAATTGTTTCTATATAATAGCAAAAAGCCATTGGAAACTGAAACTTAAAAAACAATACCATCAAAAAATATGAAATACATAGGAATAAATCTGACCAAACTTGGGAAAGACTAGTGCACTAAAAACTAAATAACATTGCTGAGAGATATTAACGAAGACCCAAATAAACAGAGAAATACACTCATATCTGCGTCAGACAGTTCAATATTGTTAAGATAACAATTCTCATAAATTCCCAGCAGGCATTTTTGTAGAAATTGACAAGGTGATTCTAAAATTCGTATTGGAAATACAAAGGTCCTAGAATAGCCAAAACAACTGAAAAAGAAGAACAAATTTGGGAACTAACACTACCTGATTTCAAGACTCAATGAAAAGCTACAATAAGTAAGGTAGTATGGTAGTGGCATAAAGATAGACAAGTAGATGAATGTAACAGTATATAAAGTCCAGAAATAGACCTTTTAACAAAGCAAACTCAACATATATGGGAGGAAAGAACATACTATTCTTACAATTATCTACATAATCTAATCTTCTTCTCCCTCTCATTAACTCTCTAATGCCACATGAGCCCCCTTGCTGTTCCTCAAACATTTGAGACATGATCTTGCCTCAGGACCTTTGTAGAAGCTGTTTCTTGGGCTTTGAATAACCAATAACCTTCTCAATAAGGCCTAATCTAAGCAACCCCAATCTTACCAACTCCAGCATTCCAATTTCCCTTTTCCCACTGTACTTTTTTCTCTTGACCTTAGCACTTACCACTTTCTAATATACTATATAATTAACCTATTTGTTAAGTTTAATTATTTTCCCTTCTCCTGTTGGAATATTTGCTCTATGGGAATAGGAATCTTTGTTTTGTGACTACTTTACCACTAGTACCTAGACAAGTGCTTGGCACATAGTAGGCACTCAATAAAAATCTCTTGAATGAACTGTTCTCTTCTTACTTTGCAACTATTTTTTAATCCCCTTTCTCAGTCTCACAATATGTTCAATCAATATTTTTTCGGGGTCCGAAATGCCAGGCACAATTCTAAATACATTGGAACATAAAGCTGATCAAAACATGGCAATGGCACTCTGGATACTACAATGTAGTGAAAGACATGAAATCTGCAACAAATTATCACAACTGATGCAAAAATATTGATTCATTCATTCACTTATATTATGAGCAAGATATTGGTTTATTAACCACCAATTAAAAATTGTATTTATTAACTGTTTAAGAATCATCATTTTAAAACATCTCCCCAACACTTTCAATTTTGGCTGACAGTTAAGGATCTTAGAAGTCGTAACTCAACCCTAACAAGTAAAAACTAGAACAAACTGAAAAATCAACAATTCTTCATAGATCCATCAGAAAAGTGAGGCCACAGGGCAAACCACTGCTCCAAAAATTGGAGAGACAGACAAGTGGATACAGAGAATCACAACTTACCAGAGCAGAAATCTAAAGCAGAAACCTCCAAGGGAACCAGTGCCAGGGTAGGAAAACCTGAACTGTAATTGCCTAATTGCTTGTGATTCAGCGTGAATTAATTGCAGGAGGCTCTGAGAGTTCAAAACTCCAGGGAGGGATTCAGGGGGCAAGATGGCCAACTAGACAGTCAGGAGGAACATCTCCCATGGAGGGTCCAGGGCATCAGGAAGACTGGTGCACTCCTAGCAGATCTTCAGAGGGAAGGCATTGAGAGAGGACGAAGAGGAGACAGATGCTGGGCTGAAAGGGGAGGAAGCTGGGAACCGTGCTTGGGGCTACCATGCACTGGACTCATTCCTGGCCCCCAGTGACTCCAGGGAAAGGGGTGAGTTGAACAGGCAAAGGGCAACCCACTCTCACCATGGGCTCTGGAATCCTGGCAGGGGGAGACCCCTTGATCACCACAGAAACTTGAATTGGCAGGGAGAGCTGCCCAGAGAAGTGGTAGGGGCAGAACTCCAGATAAAGTGGAACCCAGAGGGTTTGGAGCACAAGTGTCTACAGTGGAGCATTGCCAGGGTTGCCCATCCCCCTAGGCTTGACTTGCTCCCATAGGAGACTTTAGCCCTAGGGGAACTGTTGGACCTGAACCCTGCTGGGTGATCTGGCCCATGAGACAGGGCCAGTCCAACCTGAGCACCCCTCATCTGCTGGCCTCTCCTGAAGCCCCAATCTGGCTGTACCTGCTTGCCATGCAGCCCCCAGGTACCTCCTGGGGTTCACATCATAGCTCCTGAGGATGGTGTAGTGCCCCTGACCAGCAGAGCGGGTCCCAGTGAACACGCAACAGTTGGTGACCTCCTGTGTGCTGCTTGCCTGCACACACTGGCCCACGGCCACACCCCTGCATCGCTTTGCCAGCATGTGTGTGCAGAGGCAGGCCCGGCCTTTCCTCCCCAACCAGCATGCATGTGCACGTGCACCCTGCCATGCCACTGCTGCCACTGTGAGTGCACACCATCCCAGTCCCCACCAGCACCCCCGCCACACCACCGCTGTCATCAGAGAGTTGGCAGGCATACAGCCCGCCAGCCCCACCTCCACCAGCACCCCACCCCTGCTTTAAAACTGCCATGGTGCAAAACTAGGCACAGAGAAAAACTGATCCACCCCCACCCTAAGCGGCCACCACTGCCCACAGGAGAACACACAGAGGAGTCACACAGTCCTGTGCCAGTTAGCACCCCACCCCCATGCTAACACTATCACATGCACGAACAAACACACACATTTTGCTGGTGGCCCCACCCTTGCCCCAGCAATACCCACAAGCCACCATGCTGTCAACGCCAGTGGCTGCTGCAAATGCCTGCATGGAGGCTGACAACCTAGCACACACTAGCACCCTGCTGCAGCCAAGGAGTATACACCCCACCACACTGCAGCTGCAGCTGCTACTGGCACATGTGAACTAGGAAGGATCCTGATGCCACTGCCCTATGAAGTACATTGGCTGGCAACACCCACCAAAGTGTTGTGACCAGCAGTCTGGAAGCACCCTTGGCCCTTCTAGAACAGCAAGTTCCAAACCTCAAGGAGTCAGCGAACAAAGTGAGAGCTCCATATCAGTCCCCCAGAGTTAGAGCATGTGGGCCAGGAGTCCTATCCTGAGCCTTGACTCCATAAAATCTTCTAAAAATGAAGTCAGATAACTGAATCCACCTTATACCACAATCAAACCCCCAAGGTCATCAAATAGGATAAAAGAAAAAAAAAAGACTTAGAAGAAACTATTTTAAAATTCATATAGAACCAAAAAAGAGCTCATATAGCCAAGACAATCCTAAGCAAAAGGAACAAAGGTGGAGGGATCACACTACTGGACTTCAAACTATACTACAAGGCTACAGTAACCAAAACATGATAGTACTGGTACAAAAACAGACACATAGACCAATGGAACGGAATAGAGAACTCAGAAATATAACTGTACATCTACAACCATCTGATCTTCAACAAACCTGACAAAAACAAGCAATGGGGAAAGGAAATATGGAATTATGTAAAGAGACTGAATCAGTGACTCACTGGTCTCCCTGAAAGAGATGGGGAGAATTTCAGGATATCATGCATCAGAACTTCCCTAACCTAGCTAGAGAGGCCAATATTCAAATTCAGGAAATGCAGAGAACCCACACAAAATATTTCACAAGAAGATCATCCCCAAGGCATAATCATCAGATTCTCCAAGGTTGAAATAAAAGAAAAAATGTTAAAGGCAACTAGAGAGAAAAGCATGGTCATCTACAAAGGGAAGCCCATCAGACTAACAGCAGACTTCTCAGCAGAAACCCTACAAGCCAGAAGACTTTCTTAAAGTCAACATTCTTAAAGAAAAGAAATTCCAGCCAGGCACAGTGGCTCACGCCTATAATCTCAGAACTTTGGGAGGCCAAGGTGGGTGGATCATTTGAGGTCAGGAGTTCAAGACCAGCCTGGCCAACATGGTGAAACCCCGCCTCTACTAAAATTACAAAAATTAGCCACGCATGGTGGTGGGCACCTGTAGTTCCAGCTACTAGGGAGGCTGAGGCAGGAGAATGGCTTGAACCCAGGGGGCAGAGGTTGCAGTGAGCTGAGATCGTGCCACTGCACTCTAGCCTGGGCAACAGGGCAAGATTCCATCTCAAAAAAAAGAAAAAAAAGAAAAAAGAAAAGAAAAGAAATTCCAACCAATAATTTTACATCTGGCCAAACTAAGCTTCGTAAGTGAAGGAGAAATAAGATCTTTCTCAAATAAGCTAATGCTGAGGGAATTCGTTACCACCAGACCTGCCTTACAAGAGCTCCTGAAAGAAGCACTGTGGAAAGGAAAGACCATTACCAGCCACTACAATAACACACTGAAGTATACAGATCGGTGAGACTATAAAGCAACCATACAAACAAGCCAGCATAATAACCAGCTAACAACACAATGACAGGATCAACTCCACACATATCAATACCAACCTTGAATATAAATGGGCTAAATGCCCCATTTAAAAGGCAAAAAGTAGCAAGCTGGATAAAGAAGAAAGACTTAATGGCATGTTGTCTTTAAGGGACCTATCTCACAAGCAATGACACTCACAGGCTCAAAACAGAGAGATGGAGAACAATCTACCAAGCAAATGGAAAATAGAAAAAAGCAAGGGTTGCAATTCTAAATTCAGACAAAGTAGAGTTTAAACGAAAAAGATCAAAAAAAGGGAAAGAAGGGCATTATATAATGGCAAAGGGTTCAATTCAACAAAAAGACCTAACTATCTTAAATATATATGTACCTAACACAGGAGCACCCAGACTCATAAAGCAAGTTCTTAGAGACCTTCAAAGAGGACTTTGACTCCCACACAATAATAGTCGGAGGCCTCAAAACTCCACTGACATTATTAGACAGATTATTAAGGCAGAAAATTAACAAAGATATTCAGGACCTGAACTTAATACTGTACCAATGGACCTGATAGACATCTACAGAAACTCTCCACCCAAAAACAACAAAATATAAGTTATTCCTATTGTGACATGGCACATAACCTAAAATTGACCACACAATCAAACATAAAACACTACTCAGCAAATACAAAAGAATCAAAATCATACCAACCACTCTTTCAGACCACAGTGCAATAAAATTGGAAATCAGGATTGAGAAAATTGCTCAAAACCATACAATTACATGGAAATTAAACAACCTGCTCCTGAATGACTATTGGGTAGCTAATGAAATTAAGGCAGAAATCAAGACATGTTTTGAAACTAATGAGAACAAAGATACAACATAACAGAATCTTTGGAACACAGCTAAAGCAGTGTTAAGAGGGAAATTTGTAGCACTAAATGCCCACATCACAAAGTTAGAAAGATCTCAGGTTAACAACCTAACATCACAACTAAGAGAACAAGAGAAGCAAGAGCCAACCAACATCAAACCTAGCAGAAGAAAATAAATAATCAAAATCAGAGCTGAACTGAAGGAGATTGAGATGTGAAAGATCATTCAAAAGATCAATGAATCCACGAGTTGGTTTTTAGAAAAAAACTAATAAGATAGATAAACTGCTAACTAAACGAATAAGAAGAAATGATAGAGGATCCAAACAAATGCAATTAGAAACAACAAAGGGAACAATACCACTCCACAAAAATACAAATAGCCAGCAAAGAACAGCATAAAAACCTCTACGCACACGAACTAGAAAATCTAGAAGTGATGGATAAATTACTGGATACATACAGCCTCCCAAGACTGAACTTGGAAGAAGCTGATTGCCTGAACAGCCCAAAAACAAGCTCCAAAATTGAATCAGTAATAAATAGCTTACTAACCAAAAAAAGCCAAGGACCTGACAGATTCACAGCCAAATTCTACCGTATGTACAAAGAAGAGCTGGTACCATTCCTACTGAAACTATTCCAAAAAATTAATGAGGAGGAACCTCTCCCTAATTCATTCTTTGAGGCCAGCATCATCCGGGTACCAGAACCTGGCAGAGACACAAAAACAACAAAAACTTCAGCCCAATATCCTTGATGAACATTGATGCAAAATTCTCAACAAAATACTAACAAACAGAATCCAGCAACACATCAAAAAACTAATCCACCATGATCATCAAAAAACTTTATCCCTGGGATGCAGGGTTGGTTCAACATACACAAATCAATAAATATGATTCATCACATAAACAGAACTAAAGACAAAAACCACATTATTATCTCACTAGATGCACAGAAGGGTTTTGATAAAATTTAACATTGCTTCATGTTAAAAACTCTCAAAAAACTAGGTATTGAAGAAACATACCTCAACATAGTAAGAGCCATTTATGACAAACACCCACAGCCAACATCATACAAAATGGGCAAAAGCTGGTAGCATTCCCCTTGAAAATCGGCACAAGACAAGGATGATCTGTCTCACCACTCCTATTCAACATAGTATTGGAAGTCCTGGCCAGATAAATAAGGCAAGAGAAAGAAATAAAGGCATCCAAATAGAAAGAGAAGAAGCCATACTATCCTTGTTTGAAGATTACAGGATTCTATATCTAGAAAACTCCATAGTCTCTGCCCAAAAGCTCCTTGAGCTGATAAGCAACTTCAGCAAAGCTTTGGGACACAAAGTCAATGTACAAAAATCACTAGCATTCTTATACACCAACAATAGTCAAGCCTAGAGTCAATCCCAGGAACACAATCCCATTCACAATTGCCACACACACAAAAATAAAATACCTAGGAATACAGCTAACCAGTGAGAGATTGCTACAATAAGAATTACAAAACCCTGCTCAAAGAAATCAGAGATGACACAAACAAACGGAAGACATTCCATGCACATGGATAGGAAGAATAAATATTGTTAAAATGGTCATACTACCCAAAGTGATTTACACATTCAATGCTATTCCAATTACCAATGACATTCTTCACAGAACTAGAAAAAAATTTTTTAAATTCATATGGAACCAAAACAGAGCCCGAATAGGCAAAGCAATCCTAAGCAAAAAGAACAAAGCAGGAGGCATCACACTACCTGACTTCAAACTATACTACATGGGTAAAGCAAACAAAATAGATGGTACTGGTACAAAAACAGACACATAGACCAATGGAAGAGAATAAAGAGCCTGGAAATAAGGGCACACACCTACAATCGTCTGATATTTGTTGCGGGAAGTCAGGAACCCCGAACAGAGGGACCAGCTGGAACCACAGCAGAAGAATATAAATTGTGAAGATTTCATGGACATTTATCAGTTCCCAAAATTAATACTTTTATAATTTCTTATGCCTGTCTTTATTGCAATCTCTGAACATAAATTGTGAAGATTTCATGGACATTTATCACTTCTCCAATCAATACTCTTATAATTTCTTATGCATGTCTTTAATTTCTTAACCACATTATCTTTGTAAGCTGAGAATGTACATCACCTCAGGACCTGTGATGATTATGTTAACTGTACAAATTGATTGTAAAATACGTGTGTTTGAACAATATGAAATCAGTGCACCCTGAAAAAGAACAGAATAACAGCGATTTTCAGAGAACAAGGAAAGATAACATAAGGTGTGACTGCCTGTGGGGTCAGGCAGAATACAGCCATATTTTTCTTCTCGCAGAAAACCTATAGATGGATGTGCAAGTAGGAGAAATGTCGCTGAATTCTTTTCCCAGCAAGGAATAGCCCTGGGGAAGGAATGCATTCCTGGGTGTAGGTCTATAGACAGCCGCTCTGGGAGTGTCTGTCTTATGCGGTTGAGATAAGGACTGAAATATGCCCTGGTCTCCTGCAGTGCCCTCAGGCTTACCAGGATTGGGAAATTCCAGCCTGGTAAATTCTAGTCAGACCGGTTGTCTGCTCTCAAACCCTGTTTCCTGTTAAGATGTTTATCAAGACAATGCATGCACAGTGGGACACAGACCTTCATCAGTAATTCTAATTTTGCCTTTGCCTTGTGATCTTTTATTACCCTTTGAAGCATGTGATCTTTGTTACTTACTCCCTGTTCATACACCCCCTCCCCTTTTAGAATCCCTAATAAAAACTTGCTGGTTTTGCAGCTCAGGTGGGCATCACAGAACCAGCCAATATGTGATGTCACCCCTGGCAGCCCAGCTGTAAAATTCTACTCTTTGTACTCTTTCTCTTTATTTCTCAGACTGGCTGACACTTAGGGAAAATAGAAAAGAACCTATGTTGAAATATTGGGGGCTGGTTCCCCCAATAGATATTTAATAAAGTTGACAAAAATAAGCAACAGGGAAAGGACTCCCTATTCAATAAATGGTGCTGGAATAACTGGCTAGTCAAATGCAGAAGATTGAAACTGGACCCCTTCCTTACACCATATACAAAAATCAACACAAGATGGGTTGAAGATTTAAATGTAAAACCCAAAACTATAAAAACCCTAGAAGATAACCTAGGATATACCATTCTGGACATAGGAACTGGCAAAGATTTCATGACAAAGACACCAAAAGCAATCGCAACAAAAGCGAAAATTGACAAATGGGATCTAATTAAACTTAAGACCTTCTGCACAGCAAAAGAAACTATCAAGAGAGTAAACAGACAACCTACAGAATAGGAGAAAATATCTGCAAACTATGCATATGACAAAGGGCTAATATTCAGCACATATAAGAAACTTAAACAAATTTACAAGGAAAAAGACAACCCCATTAAAAGGTGGGCAAAGAGGCTGGGAGTGGTAGCTCAGGCCTGTAATCCTAGCACTTTGGAAGACCAAGGCAGGCAGATCACTTGAGCTCAGGGCATTCGAGACCAGCCTGGGCAACATGGCAAAACCCCATCTCTTTTAAAAACACAAAAATTAACCAGGCATGGTGGTACGTGACTGTAGTCCCAGCTACTCAAGAGGCTGAGGCAGGAGGATCACCTGAGCTCAGGAAGCAGATATTGCAGTGAGCTGAGATCACACTACGGCACTCCAGCCTGGGCAACAGAGCCAGACCCTGTCTTTAAAAAAATAAAAATAAAAAAATTGGGCAAAGGATGTGAACAGAAACTTTTCAAAAGAAGACATATATGCAGCCCATAAGCATATGAAAAAAAAGCTCAATATCACTGATCACTAGAAAAATGCAAATCAAAACCACAGCAAGATACCTCCTCACACCAGTCAGAATGGCTATTAATAAAAAGTCAAAGAATAGCAGATGTTGGCAAGGTTGCAGAGAAAAGGGGAACACTTATACACTGTTGATAGGCATGTAAATTGGTTCAACCATTGTGGAAAGCCATGTGGCAATTCCTCAAACAGCTGAAAACAGAACTACCATTCAACCAAGCAATCCCATTACAGGATATGTTCCCAAAGGAATATAAATCACTTTATCCTAAAGGCACATGCATGCATATGTTCACTGCAGCACTATTATTCACTTTGTTATTATTCACAATAACAAAGACATACAATCAACCTAAATTCCCATCAATGGTACACTGGATAAAGAAAATATGGTACATATACACCATGGAATTCTATGCAGCCATAAAAAAGAATATCATGTTCTTTGCAGGAACATGAATGGAGCTGGAGGCATTATCCTTAGGAGATTAATGCAGGAACAGAAAACCAAATACTGCATGTTCTCACTTGGAAGTGGGAGTTAAATGATGAGAACACATGGACACAAAGAGCAGAACAACAAATACTGGGGCCTACCAGAGGGTGGAGAGTGGTACGAGGAAGAGGAGCAGAAAACTATTGAGTACTAGGCTTACTACCTGGGTGATAAAATAATCTGTACATCAAACCCCCATGACATGAGTTTACCTATACAACAAACTTTCACATGCACCCCTGAACCTAAAATAAAAGTTGTTTTAAAACTCCAGAAGGACCCAGTCATAGGGGGCTATGGTATAACCAAAAAAAAAATTGGTCTTTGTCACCAGTTTCTGGCACAGAGGTCCCAAAACCCTTGAAATTTCCTGAGTAATAAGGGTTATAGGAGCATCTTTTGTTTTAATGAGACAACTCTTGGTAGCCCATACATAGCTTCAGGATGGGGGCTGATCACCAGAAAGATTAAGCCTTGCCCAGCCTCCAGGAAGGAGAGAGGAACTGGAGATTGAGTTAATCAGCAATGGCCAAGTAATGTAGTTTTCTGAGTTCTGTGAGCCATTCTAGCAAATCATTAACATTGAGGAGGGAAGTGTGGAAATGCCCAATTTATAGCCAGTAAGTCAGAAATACGGGTGACTCAATGCTTGTGACTGACACCTGAAGCAAAGGAAATATTGTGGCACCAACTCCTTAAACCAGGAGAGCCTGATGCTAAATCTGGGAAGTCAGTGTCAGAACTGAATTGAATCGTCAGACATCTAGTTGGTGTTGGAGAACCAGAGAACTGAAGAAGTATTGTTGGATAAGACAATATATATTTGGTGTCTTCACAAAATAAACACATACACACACACACACAATTGTGAGTTTAATGTAGAAGAGTTCCACAAGGTCTTCACAGTGAATATCAGTATAAATGCTTTTTTTTAAGAGGTGAAATCATTTGCTGGGTTGTTTATTTTTTGGTACAACCAGGAAATAGTGTGGGATATTGAATTATGAGTGTTTTTGACTGTCTTGGGTATCAGCTTAACATTCCATAGATGGGGGTTAGTTTTTATATCCTACAATACAAAGCATATTAAATGGCAACATAGAGTCACAGTCCTGCATTTAATGTCTTGAACATTTTAAATTGCTTCTGCTCCCATGTTGTGTTTTAGCAGCACTGTTTCCTAAAGAAAACCACTTAGGCTAGGCTAAACTGTAATGTTTGGTAGGTGAAGTGTATTAAATGTATTTTTTACTCACAATATTTATGACCTATGATGGGTTTATCAGGACATAACCCTGTCATAAGTCAAGGAACATATAAGTATGTACGTATAAGTGAATGAATGACAGCAATGATACAAGGGATAGGAGGAAAGAATCAGAAATATTTTATTGCTATAAGGTACTTGCACTATGCATGAAGCAGTATCATGTTATTTAAAAGCAGATTTGGACTAATTGTAAATGTATATTGCAAACTCTAGGGCAACCACTTTTAAAAGTTTAAAAAGAACTATAATTGACATGCTAAAAAAAGGAGAAAAAATGAACCTTATAAAATGCTCAATTAAAACCACAAAGGCAAAAAAAAAGTGTGGAAGACAATACAGGAACAGAGAACACATGTGACAAGTAGAAAACAGTCACAAATATGGTAGATATTAATCCAACTATATCAATAATCACCTTAAACATCAATGGTCTGTTTACACCAATTTTTAAAAAGAGATTGTTAAAGTGGATCAAAAAACAAGACCCAGCTATATGTTGCCTACATGAAACTCTCTTTAAATATAAAGATACATACAGATTAAAAGTAAAGTAATAGAGAAAGAAATACCATGCTAACACTAATCAAAATAAAGTGGCAACAGCTATATTAATTTCAGACAGAGCAGACTTCAGAGCAAGGAAAGTTATCAGGGATTAAAAGGGACATTACATAATGAGAAGGGGGTCAATTCTCCAAGAAGGCTTAACAATCCTTAATTTGTTCACAAATTAGAACATCAACATATGTGGAGGAAAAAACTGATAGAACTGCTAGGAAAAATAGGTGAATCCACATTAAAGTTGAAGACTTTAACACCCCTCTATCAGAATGGGCAGATGCAGCAGGCAGAAAATCATTAAGTGTGTAGTTGAACTCAACAGCCCTATCAATCAACTGGATATAATTAACTTCTATAGACTAGTCCATCCAACAACAGTGGATTACACATTCTTGTCAAGCTCACATGGGACATTCACCAAGATAGATCCCATTCTGAGCCACAAAAAATATTTTAACAAATTTAAAAGAATAGAAATCATACAATGTCTTCTCTTAGACCACGATGGAATAATCTAGAAATCAATAACAAAAAGATAGCTGGAGAATCCCAAGTTACTTGAAGACTAAACAACACAATTCCAACTAATACATGGGTGACAGAAGATATCTCAAGAGAATTTTTAAAATATTTTAAATAAAGATACAACATATCAAAATTAGTGAGGTGCAGTGAAAACAGTGCTTAGAGGGAAATGTATAGCATTGAATGCATACATTAGAAAAGAAGAAAGACCTAAAATCCACAATCTAAGCTTCCAAGTTAGGAAACAAGAAAAAGAAGAGAAAATTAAATCCAAAGTAGAGGGAGGAAGGAAGGAAGGAAGGAAGGAAGGAAGGAAGGAAGGAAGGAAGGAAGGAAGGAAGGAAGGGAGGAATGGAGGGAGGGAGGGAGGGAGGGAGGGAGGGAGGCAGGGAGGATGTTTTACCTTTTCATAGTAGTCTCCTTTCTTTGAACTTGCCATCTAAAACAGCCTTTCATTCTCAGCTAACATCTTCCTCTCAATCGAAACATTTCCCTTCTAAGTTGACCTTTGAAATAGATCTGATGTATTATGTTTCTTAAACTGAACCAATGTGTAGAAATAAGGGGGTTGATGGGAATAAGGGATGAAAGAGAAGCAGAATCACGTGATTAGATTTTAAAAATACATATGTTCCCATACCACCTAAGGCATATAATACTGCAGGATGGGTATGTATATTGTATTAGTCAGGACAGGTTGAGCTATGCTGTTAAAATAAATAAACCTCAAATCTCAGTGTCTTAACACAATAAAGGCTTACTTCTTTCTCATATCATAGGCGTGGACTGTTCGCCAAGTTGTCCTCAAAGTACAGGCCTCTTTGCAGTCTCTGGCTCTACCACCTTCAACTCATAGTTTCAAGGAAGCCCTCAGCATCCATGTGGCATGAGAGGGCGAGAGGGTGAGAGGGAGAGTGCATAGAAGGCACTCCCTCTTAACTATCTGAAACCGGAAGTGAAAAATCATTCCAAATCATATTCTATTGAAAAGAACTATTCTTATGGCCCCACATAGATACAAGAAAGCTAAGAAACACTGTTTCACTGTGTGTCCAAGAAGAGGAAATATATATGGTGAAAACCTAGTCCATTTCTGCCATGGTCTGCCCTTCTGGTAACCAGAAGCTGTTTCACACTTCCATTCTTATATAGAACATTCTCACTCTCTCGTCAAGAGAAACATTCTAAAGTGACATCCAGTCATTGCATCCAGCTCAAGATCCAGCATCCAGTGATATGCTAGCTTTTCCATCAAATCTGGGGAAGATCCTCATGATCTCACAAATTAAAATCTAAAAACACAAATTATCTTCTCTCTCACCATACCCAATTTATAATGGTGGTGCAGGGACAGGATAACTGCAATAAAATCACCCATCGTGTACCTTCTGGTATGATGTTAAGAGAAGGGCTCTTCACCTCTGTGTTATTCTTCCTGAAACTCTATAATTCCAAGATAATCATGAGAAAACATCAGACAACTCCAAATTGAGGAACATTCTACTAAAATCTAACCATTAATCTTCAATAGTCAAAGTCATAAAAAACAATGGTACAGAAAAACAAATACTACACAATCTCACTTATATGTAAAATTGTTAAGAAGTCATCCACCAAAAAACTATTAGAACAGATAAACAAATTCAGTAAAGTTGCAGGATACAAAATCAACATACGGAAATCATTAGCATTTCTATACGCCAACAGCAAACAGCCTGAAAAGGAAATCAAGAAAATAACCCCATTTACTATAGCTACAAATAAAATTAAATACTTGGGAATTAACTTAACCAAAGAAGTGAAAGATCTCTACAACGAAACCTATAAAACATTGATGAAAAAAATTGAAGAGGACACAAAAAAAATGGAAGGATATTCCATGTTAATGGATTGGAAGAATCAATATCATTAAAATGTCCATACATACTACCCAAAGTAATCAACAGATTCAATACAATTCCTATCAAAATACCAATGGCATTCTTCACAGAAATAAAAAAAAAATCCTAAAATTTATATGAAACCACAAAAGACACAGAAGAGCCAAAGTCACCCTGAGCAAAACTAACAAAACTGGAGTAATCACATTACCTTACTTCACACTAGACTACAGAGCTATAGTAACCAAAACAGTAATGGTACTGGCATAAAAACAGACACACAGACCAATAGAACACAATAGAGAACGCAGAAACAAATTCATACATCTACAGTGAACTCATTTTCAACAAAGGTGTCAAGAACATACACTGGGAAAAGGACAGTCTCTTCAATAAATGTTGCCGGGAAAAGTGGATATCCATATGCAGCAGAATGAAACTAGACTCCTATCACTTGCTATTAAAAAAATAAAATAAAATCAGCCGGGCATGGTGGCTCAAGCCTGTAATCCTAGCACTTTGCAAGGCCAAGGTGGGTGGATCACTTGAGATCAGGAGTTCAAGACCAGCCTGGCCAACATGGCAAAACGCTGTCCACACTAAAAATACAAAAATTAGCTGGGCATGGTGGCATGCACCTATAATCCCAGCTATTTGAGAGGCTGAGGCACCTGAATCATTTGAACCTAGGAAGTGGAGGTTGCAGTAAGCCAAGAATGCACCACTGCACTCCAGCCTGGGTGACAGAACAAGACTGTCTCAAAACAAGCAAACAAAAAAATCAAATCAAAATGGATGAAAGACTTCAATCTAAGACTTCAAACTATGAAACCTCTATAAGAAAACATTAGAGAAACTCTCCAGGACATCGTAGTGGGCAAATAATTTCTTGAGTAATATCCTACAAGCACAGGCAATCAAAGCAAAAATGGACAAATGGGGTTATATCAAGTTAAAAAGCCTCTGCACAGAAAAGAAAATAATCAGTAGAGTGAAGAAACAATGCACAGGCGGAGAAAATATTTGCAAACTAACAATCCGACAAGGGATTAATAACCAGAATATATAAGGAGCTCAAACAACTCTATAAGAAAAAATCTAATAATCCAATTTAAAATGGGCAAAATATTTGAAGAAACATTTCTCAGAAGAATACATATAAATGGCAAACAAGTATATGAAAAGGTGCTCAGCATAACTGATCCTCAGAGAAATTCAGATCAAAACTGCAATGGGCCAGCACAGTGGTTCACATCTGTAATCCCAGACAAGACTGGGAGGCAAAGGCAGGTGGATTGCTTGAGCCCAGGAGTTTGTGAAAAACCTGGACAACATGGCAAGACCCCGTCTCTATTTTTTTAAAAAATTGCAATGAGATATCATCTCACCTCAGTTAAAATGGTTTTCATCCAAAAGTCAGGCAATAACAAATGCTAGCAAGAATGTGAAGAAAAGGGGATCCTTGTACATTGTTGATGGGAAAGTAAATTAGTACAACCACAATGGAGAACAGTTTGGAGGTTCCTCAAAAAGCTAAAAATAGAACTACCATATGATCCAGCAATTCCACTGTTAGGTATATACTCAAAAGAAAGGAAATCAGTATATCAAAGAGATATCTGCACTCCCATGTTTATTGTAGCACGATTCACAACAGTCAAGATTTGGAAACAACCTGTGTCCATCAATAGGTGAATGGAAGAAGAAAATGTGTTGCATATACACAATGGAGTACTATTCCGCCATAAAAAAGAATGAGATCCTGTCATTTGTGAATAGAGCTGTGGAGGTCATTATATTAAGTGAAATAAGCCATGCACAGAAAGACAAACTTTGTTTTCACTCATTTGTGGGAGCTAAAAATCAAAACAATTGAACTCATGGAGATTGAGAATAGAATGAAGGTTACCAGAGACTGGAAAAGGTAGTGGGGGAGGTTGGGGGATGGGGGGATGTTTAACAGGTACAAACAAAAATAGAAAGAATGAATAAGATCTAGTATTTGAAAGCACCACAAGGTTGCTATAGTCAATAATTTAATTGTACATTTAAAAATCACTAAAAGAGTATAATTGAGGCCAGTCATGGTGGCTCATGCCTGTAATCCCAGCACTTTGGGAGCCAACATGGTGAAAACCTGTCTCTACTAAAAAATAAAAAATTAGCTGGGCACGGTGTTGCACACCTGTAGTCTCAGCTACTTGGGAGGCTGAGGTGGAAGAATTGCCTGAACCCGGGAAGTGGAGGTTGCAGTGAGCCGAGATCATTCCATTGCACTCCACCCTGGGTGACAGAGTGAGATCCTGTCTCAAACAAAAAGAAAAAAAAGAGTATAATTGAATTATTTGTAACACAAAGAATAAATGCTGGAGGTGACAGATATCCCATTTACCCTAATAATTATTACACATTGTTTGCCTGCATCCAAATAGCTCACATATGCCATAAATATATACTATGTACCCATAAACATTAAATACTAAAAACAAAATTTTCAAGTGTTCCTTTGAAAATGAGGAGAACAACATTATAAGGTTACTTTTAAAACTGTATAAAAATAAATACCTACATACATACATTTTTAAAAAGTCAAACTCAGAAGCAGAAAGTCAATGGGGATTACTAGAGACTGAGAAGAAAGGGATTGGGGAGGTATCAGGATGAAAAAGTTCAAGAGCTCTATTACACAACATGGGGGACTACAGTTAATAGCAATGTGTTAGGCACTTGAAAATTGATGAGAGTAGATGTTCAGTGTTCTCATTACCAAAAAACAAAAGTATGTGAGGTAATGAATATGCTAATTAGCTTGATTTTGCCATTCCACAGTGTATAAAATTTTTGCCAATTTTTAAAACTCCATTTGAAAAAGGAAAGAATGAAAGATACACAACAATCACTAGTTCATAGCAGTTGTGGAATCATCTGGGTAGACACCTATCTCTGCCCTGTGGAAGAAATTCCATTAAGCCCCTGTTTTTTGCCCCCTGGGAAGAATTTCCTCATTTTCTCTAGTCCCTGGATCAGCACTGTGAGAGATTCTCTCTTTTCTATTCTCCTGGCTTGTTGTTGTTATTGTTGTTGCTATTGTTGTTTGAGACAGGGTCTCTCGCTGTGTCACCCAGGCTGGAGTGCAGTGGCATGAACACGGCTCCCTGCAGCCTCAACCTCCTGGGCTCAAGCAATCCTCCCACCTCAGACTCCTGATAGCTGGGACCACAGGTGTGCACCACTACGCCCAGCTAACCTATTCTCCTTGTTTCAAGCATCTGAAGGTGTATGTCCTGTCCTTCTTGGGGACTGGACAAATTTTATAGCCTACTTCTCCTGCATGTGGACCTTTAGGAGCCTAAGGGTTCGTTTAAGTCTGAAACGCTCCAAGATTGGATTATGTGGCAATATAATTTTCTCAAAGAATGATATGTTTGCAATAAACCCATGCCTTACGTTAATAAGAACCCAAAGTTCTTTCTCAAACCTGCCTTTCTTTTTACTCCTTCACTCATCATATCTCTTTCTCTGAAATAAATAAAAACAGGTTACCTTGAAGATATCAACCTTGAATGGAATAGCTATGTTCTTAACCTAATCTTTGCCTGTCGTTCAAGGACTTTGCCTCTGTCTTATTACCTACATTTGGGAGCCTAGAAGCCGTTGGATTTTTCCAACCTTTCAATGCCCCAAATTTTTACAGTCTCTTTATTTCTTTTATTTCTGGTTACACCCGCCAATTATCTCCTAACCTCATCCCTTTCTTGTAATACTTTCCCAAAATGCAGCAAATAGAAACCAACATGCAATAACATTTTGGCTCTTTATAATCATTTCCCCCAGAGCTGCTGGCTCAGTAGGGCCATGGCCTACCTCCCAAGATATTACAGGAAGCAGTTTTACCAAATACTTTACCAGTCTATACCATAGATCTGCCATCTCTGCAGCCCCGAATACCAGTTTCCTCACTCTCCAGTATTCAACTATTAAGCCAATAACACATATTTTAGGGTTACAGCAGCAATCCCCTTTAAATTCCTTACATAGACTAGGCTATGCTCTAGTGAAAATTAAAACTCCCAAATTTCAGTATCTTAAAAGTGTATTTATTGTTCATGCCACAACCCAGTGAGGGGTAAGCAGCTCTCCTCTAAGTGATGGTTCAGTCTTCTTCCATGCTGGGCATCCCCCATTTTCAACAATGTGCCATCCAGTTGACAACAAGGGGAGAAAAAAATGAGAAGGCACATTCATAACTGTCTCAACTGGAAATGTCATCTCATTTCTGCTCACATTCTATTGGCAAGAATTAGTCATACTGCCACACATTGACTCAAAGTCCCTGGAAAATGTAGTTTACCTGTGGATCTAGGAAGAGGAAATGAATTTGGAAAGATTGATTCGGTCAGCCATACATAAAACCCCACTGTAACATAGTAAGTTGGGTACAAAATATTCCATAACATAAAATTTAGTATTACCTTGATCCAAGATTAAATAAATTAACACAGTGAGTCTATCCAGCAATCCAATTCCAGGGCTCCAGTGGCACAATCTGAATCTGTCTAGGTCCCCGTTGCAGTTTGGCACTCCAGGTGGTGGTTTTCTTCTCCAAGTTAAATATGATGGGGATTTTGAGAACAAGGTGGGGTGGAGGACAGAAGTCAATTTTGTTATATCCAAATTCATGTTATCATAGACTATACCGTCATGGACTTTTGCTATATTTTGAAAATGTGACCCACTTGATTCTAATGTAACATCACTTTCGTTATTGAGAGTCATGACTGAGGAGATTACATTTTCAAAGGTACAGACCTATTTTGGTATATATTCCAGTTACTATCACTACATAACAAACCGCCACAAAATTTCATAGCTTTAAAAATGTAGCATTTATTTTGCTCAGAAATCTAAAATTTGGAAAAAGCAATGCCCCATGAGCACAGTGTTCAGTTGGACCCACAGCATGTAAGAGCTTGTGGAGACTCATACGAAGTACAAGGTAAGTGTGTTACATCTATGACCGAGTAACAGGAGTGCTGAAACCCCCAAACTTTACATTCAAACCAAATCCTGCAATAAATGCAGAAAGAAGACAAAGACATTCTAAGAAACACAAACAATCAAGAGATCCTACCATTTCCTTTCTTATTCATGTTACTTTCCTATATTAGCTAACCACTTATGCTGGAAACGAATAACATAGAAAGAAAGGGAAAGATAGGAAAGGCCATAATTTCTTTTCCTTTCTGTAACTTCCTTACTTGTCAATAAATAACAAGTAGAAACTATGGGTAGAACGTGCACCTATTAAGAAATGAAATAAGGCCAGGTGCGGTGGTCATGCCTGTAATCCCAGTACTTAGGGAGGCCAAGGTGGGCGGATCACGAGGTCAGGAGTTCGAAACCAGCCTGACCAACATGGTGAAACTCCATCTCTACTAAAAATACAAAAATTAGCCAGGCACAGTGGTGCGCACCTGTTACCCCAGCTACTCAGGAGCCTGAGGCAGGAGAATCGCTTGAACCCAGGAGGCAAAGGTTGCAGTGAGCCGCAGCCTGGGCGACAGAGCAAGACTCTGTCTCAAAAAAAGAAGCAAGATGGCCGAATAGGAAGAGCTCCAGTCTACAACTCCCAGCATGAGTGACGCAGAAGACGGGTGATTTCTGCATTTCCAACTGAGGGACCGGGTTCATCTCACTGGGGCTTGTCGGACAGTGGGTGCAGGACAGTGGGTGCAGCCCACCAAGTGTAAGCCGAAGCAGGGCGAGGCATCGCCTCTCCCAGGAAGTGCAAAGGGTCAGAGAATTCCCTTTCCTAGCCAAGGGAAGCTGTGACAGATGGCACCTGGAAAATCGAATCATTCCCACCCTAATACTGCACTTTTCCAACAGTCTTAGGAAACGGCACACCAGGAGATTATATCCCGTGCCTGGCTCGAAGGGTCCCACGCCCACAGAGCCTCCCTCTTTGCTAGCACAGCAGTCTGAGATTGAACTACAAGGTGGCAGCGAGGCTGGGGGAGGGGCGCCTGCCATTGCTGAGGCTTGAGTAGGTAAACAAAGCAGCTGGGAAGCTCGAGCTAGGTGGAGCCCACTGCAGCTCAAGGAGGCCTGCCTGCCTCTGTAGACTCCACCTCTCGGGGCAGGGCATAGCCAAACAAAAGGCAGCAGAAACCTCTGCAGACTTAAATATCCCTGTCTGACAGCTTTGAAGAGAGTAGTCATTCTCGCAGCACGGAGTTTGAGATCTGAGAATGGACAGACTGCCTCCTCAAGTGAGTCCCTGACCCCTGAGTAGCCTAACTGGGAGGCACCCCCCAGTAGGGGCAGACTGACACCTCACACAGCCAGGTGCCCCTCTGAGACGAAGCTTCTAGAGGAACGATCAGGCAGCAACATTTGCTGTTCAGCAATATTCACTGTTCTGCAGCCTCTGCTGCTGATACCCAGGCAAACAGGTCTGGAGTGGACCTCCAGCAAACTCCAACAGACCTGCAGCTGAGGGTCCTGACTGTTAGAAGGAAAACTAACAAACAGAAAGGACATCCACACCAAAACCCCATCTGTACGTCACCATTATCAAATACCAAAGCTAGATAAAACCAAAAAGATGGGGAAAAAACAGAGCAAAAAAACTGAAAATTATAAAAATCAGAGCACCTCTCCCCCTCCAAAGGAACACAGCTCCTCGCCAGCAATGGAACAAAGCTGGACAGAGAATGGCTTTGACAAGTTGAGAGAAGAAGGCTTCAGATGATCAAACTTCTCCGAGCTAAAGGAGGAAGTATGAACCCAACGCAAAGAAGCTAACAACCTTGAAAAAAGATTAGATGAATGGCTAACCAGAATAACCAGGGTAGAGAAGTCCTTAAATGACCTGATGGAGCTGAAAACCATGGCACGAGAACTACGTGATGAATGCACAAGCTTCGGTAGCCAATTCGATCAAGTGGAAGAAAGGGTATCAGTGACTGAAGATCAAATGAATGAAACGAGCAAGAAGAGAAGTTTACAGAAAAAAGAGTAAAAAGAAATGAACAAAGCCTCCAACAAATATGGGACTATGTGAAAAGACCACATCTACGTCTGATTGGTGTACCTGAAAGTGACAGGGAGAATGGAACCAAGTTGGAAAACACTCTGCAGGATATTATCCAGGAGAACTTCCCCAACCTAGCAAGGCAGGCCAACATTCCAATTCAGAAAATACAGAGAACACCACAAAGATAATCCTTGAGAAGAGCAACTCCAAGACACATAATTGTCAGATTCACCAAAGTTGAAATGAAGGAAAAAATGTTAAGGGCAGCCAGAGAGAAAGGTCGGGTTACCCACAAAGGGAAGCCCATCAGACTAACAGCTGATCTCTCGGCAGAAACTCTACAAGCCAGAAGAGAGTGGGGGCCAATATTCAACATTCTTAAAGAAAAGAATTTTCAACCCAGAATTTCATATCCAGCCAAACTAAGCTTCATAAGTGAAGGAGAAATAAAATCCTTTACAGACAAGCAAATGCTGACAGATTTTGTCACCACCAGGCCTGCCCTACTGAAGGAAGCACTAAACATGGAAAGGAACAGCCAGTACCACCCATTGCAAAAACATGCCAATTGTAAAGACCATCGATGCTAGGAAGAAACTGCATCAACTAACGAGCAAAATAACCAGCTAACATCATAATGACAGGATCAAATTCACATATAACAATATTAACCTTAAATGTAAATGGGCTAAATGCTCCAATCAAAAGACACAGACTGGCAAATTGGATAAAGAGTCAAGACCCATTGGTGTGCTTCATTCAGGAGACCCATCTCATGTGCAGAGACACACATAGGCTCAAAATAAAGGGATGGAGGAAGATCTACCAAGAAAATGGAGAACAAAAAAAGGCAGAGGTTGCAATCCTAGTCTCTGATAAAACAGACTTTAAACCAACAAAGATCAAAAGAGACAAAGAAGGCCATTACATAATGGTAAAGGGATCAATTCAACAAGAAGAGCTAACTATCCTAAATATACATGTACCTGTACAGGAGCACCCAGATACATAAAGCAAGTCCTTGTAGACCTACAAAGAGACTTAGACTCCCACACAATAATAATGGGAGACTTTAAAACCCCACTGTCAACAT